>NC_000005.10:176964889-177115334 GCF_000001405.40 Homo sapiens
AATGGGCCATAAATCCTTTCCTGAAAATTTAAAATTTGAATTGGGAGAGATTAAGTCTCCTGTAACCCATAATAAGTTTGAGAGCTATAGAATCAGTGTCTTCAACCTACACCTGAAAAACAAAAGCAAAAGAGTGCCAAGTCTGCAGGGAGAAAAATGAAGCAGACACAATATAACCATGAGATACAGAAAAATCAGATGCCCAGTACCTTCTTTGGGCCTGGTTATAGTTCTATTTTAAAACTTCTGAAGCCAGGCGCGGTGGCTCACGCCTGTAATCCCAGCACTTTCGGAGGCCAAGGTGGGTGGATCACGAGGTCAGGAGATCGAGACCATCCTGGCTAACACGGTGAAAACCCTTCTCTATTAAAAATACATAAAAAATTAGGCGGGTGTGGTGGCGGGCACCTGTAGTCCCAGCTACTCAGGAGGCTGAGGCAGGAGAATGCGTGAACCCGGGAGGTGGAGCTTACAGTGAGCCAAGACTATGCCACTGCACTCCAGCCTGCGCAACACAGAGAGACTCCATCTCAAAAAAAAAAAAAACTTCTGAGATACCTCGCTTCCTTATAAAGTCCTCTTTTAATTTTTTTATTTTTATTTATTTATTTTAGTAGAGACAAGGTCTCACTAAGTTGCCTGGGTTGGTCTCAAACTCCCAGGCTCAAATGAATTCTCCTGCTTCAGCTTCCCAAAATGCTGAGATTAGGCATTAGCCATTGTGCCTAGCCAAGTCCTCTTTTTAATTAAGCTAGCTTAATTCAGTTTACTGCAGCAAATAGTATTAACTGATAATACTACCTGTAGTATTTGGTGGTCTGGTCATGAAGTTAAGAGTCAAAGAACTTCAATCTAATTAAGACCATCCACTAGATTTTGACTTCTTCCAGGCTACTGCAAAGGCAGTACTTTCAAACTTGACACAACACAGAACTTGACACAAGTCTATGATGTAGAGCTCTGGCCCCTGGGATCTTGCAAGCTAACAACTTGAATTACAATAAATCATTAAGTGTCACTCTTTGGAGTTAATGTATTATTTTAAGAAGCAGCATCTCCGAATTGGAAAGAACAAACTAAACATTTATCATAAGCATCATGTAACTTTCCTTTGGAAAAGAAACCAGTCACTAAAATAACTATTTCTTAAAAATGCCTTCTTTGCTGATATACCTTCAGAAAAAAAATTTCTTTAAATAAAAATGCCTTCTCTTCCTAGACAACAATCTTTCCAGAATGTGAATGAAGATGGTTACTAGGAAATAATGATTCCTAGAGGCATCTCCCCAGTGAATGACCTTTGATCCCTTAGAGAGAATTACCAGTTGTTCAGTGCCTATGCTATGCATTGCAGTAGACATTTTACACAAATTCACTTTAATCATTAAAATAACTGTCGAAAGATAGGAATTGTTATTCCCACTGTATAGACGTGAAACTGGGATTCAAAGAGGTTAAGTGACTTGCTCAAAAACACACAAATTACTAAACACAAAAATCAGAACTCAACTCCAAATCCATGTTCTCTATTCTATGAAGCTCCTCAAAGTTACCATTTCTTGAACCTTTATCATAACACAAGAAAGACAGAATAACATAATAGTAAAACAAAACCAAAAGTCAAAGTCTGGTAACAGAAATAGCAAGAAAAAACAGTATAGTCATAAAACAGAATACTCTTTAAAATTACAATTTATATATAAAGAGTTTATATTATTGCTTTATAATATTCAAAGGGAAAAATAAGATATAAGCTTTCATACACAATATAATCTAGCTACTTCAGAAAAAGCAAACTAAATGTACCAAGATGAAGATTGGTTTCAATAAATTATTCAAAACCACTACAAGCAAAATAATAAATATACACCATTATGTAATGGGAAAAAATAACTCGGAAACTATCCATACTTCATATCACAAAGGACTACTTTCTCTACTATATAAAGTGTATCCACAAACCAATAGATTATCAAAAGAAAAAATGATCATAAGATCTAACAGACAGAAAAGGAAATACAAATGGGTCTTAGACATGTGAGAAAAAAGTTCAGCCTCACAAATAGTAAGAGATACGCAAATTAAGACTACACTGAGACGCCATTTTTCATCTCTCAGACTGGCAAAGATCAAGAAGTCTGACAATACTGCATTACTGTAGGTATGGAGAAACTAGTATTCATACACTGCCAGTGGGAATGTAAATGTATATGATCTCTATGGAGGGCAATTTGGCAACAGCTAATGAAATTATAAATACATTTTTTGGTCCACCAATTACAGCTACAGAAAATTATCATATAATACAAATATCTTCCATGTGGATGAAATGTCTTCTGGACATTTTACTATCTGTAACAGTAAACTCTGACTAATCCACACATGGTATTTTTCACATCCAAAAAAAAAAAAAGATGAAGAAATTCTTTATATACTGTTATGTAATGATCTCATTAGGATATTAAATGAAAAAAGTAGAAAATAATGTGTAAATCATTTGTGTAAAAGAAGGCAGGGAAAAGAAAATGTATTCTGCTTGTACCAGATAAAGTATCTTGGAAGGATACACTAGAACTAGTAACACAAATTTGAGTCCAGAGAGGGGAACTGGCTGGCTAGGTGATAGGGAGAAAAGTTAAGACTTTTTACTTATATATTTTTGAATTTCGAGCCATGTGAATATTGTTACCTATTCAAAAATTTAACCTTTCAGAAATAATAATAATTTTTAGACCAGGCGTGTTGGCTCATGCCTACACTGCCAACACTTCAGGAGAACAAGGTAGGTGGATGGCTTGAGTACAGGAGTTCGAGACCAGCCTGGGCAACAAAGTGAAACTCAATCTCTACAAAAAATATAAAAATTAGCTCAGCGTAGTAGCGTGCACCTATGGTCCCAGCTATTGCGACGGGCTGAGGTTGGGGGATCGCTTGATCCCAGAGGTGGAGGCTGCAGGGACCCAAGATGGCATCGGTGCACTCTAGCCTGGGTGACAGAGCGAGACCTTGTCTTTAAAAAAAAAAAAAAAAAATTTATACAAAAAATAAATTATGGTTTATCTATGGTAGAATAAGTCATCTATTAAGAAATGATCTAAGATAAACTATAAAGTAGGGAGAGGAACAAAACTTAACACAGAAGAGTCTTCATTTTGTTCAAAAAATTTTTTCATGTATTTTTGTATGCATAGAAATGATGACTGGCCAGGTGTGGTGGCTCACGCCTGTAATCCCAACACTTTGGGAGGCCAAGGCATGCAGATCACAAGGTCAGGAGTTCAAGACCAGCCTAGCCAACAGGGTAAAACCCCGTCTCTACTAAAAGTACAAAAATTAGCAGGGCATAGTGGCAAGCACCTGTAATCCCAGCTACTTGGAAGGCTGAGGCAGGAGAACTGCTTGAACCCGGGAGGTGGAGATTGCAGTGAGCCGAAGATTGCGCCATTGCACTCCAGCCTGGGAGACAGAGCGAGACTCCAACTCAAAAAAAAAAAAATGGTAGTTTTTTTCTTCTTTATACTCTCCTGTACTTTCCTAATTTTCTATAGTGAACATGTATTACTTTAATAATCAAGGAGGGGAAGACCACAAAAATAACAGCTAAAATAATCCTTGTTTTAATCTGTGAATAAATCATCCTTAATTACAGCATCACTGACCCTTACCTGACCATGACTGGTTGTTGGTTCTTCCTCCAACAAAAGTTTCTCTTTCAAGCTTTTAATTGAGCTTTCCTGGAAATCCTTGGTTTTTGAGTGCCAGTCAGATGCCCTAGACTCCTGCCTCTCCTCTTTGTCTTCATCTCCCATATCTTCTGAGATGCATTCATTTTTCTCACTAGCCTGCTCTCCTTGGCCACATTCATTCTGGATCAGAGAAGGAGGTCTAGGTAACACTGGTTCCCCAAAACCTTTTTTATTAAGGAGCTGCCTCTGAGCCATTTTCAGGCTCTTTTGATAAACCTCCAACTGGCAGAGAATGACCTTGGTATACTGGTTAGGGTCTACTCCATCAGGGCAGAATGGAATACCCCAGAAATAGTTCACAGTGCCCCCAGTGTCCTGGAGACCTTTGGCATCTGCTAGGGTAGGTAGACAGTGCCTAGATGTGTCCCCGCTACCCTGGACAGCTTTGAGAAAAGCAGAACCCCTCCCAGTACTTTCCTGTGGCTTCCCACACTGTGTGTGCTCAGCCGAGTGGCCAGTACATCTGTCAAAAGATTTAACGTTCACATTCTCAAACACTGGCTGGCTTGACTGGTCCCAGCTTCCTGAGCTGCCAGAGACCGGCTCCTCTTCAGTTTTTTCAGTGTGGTCCCAAGGCTCCTCTCTTTCCTCAGCCTCGTTTCCCTGACTGATATGTGAGCCTTTAAACAGTGATGGAGGTACCAGCTGCCATATGCCTGTAGGTATTTGAGAAAAAGTAGGGCTAAGGACAAACTTTTTTATTAAGAGGGCTTGGTAAGTTATCACTTACCAAGAATTACATAATATGGGTAAGAAAGGCTCTTCTTTGGGTTTAACCAAATGTTGGTTTTTCCTTGGAGATAAAAGTATGCCGGATATTCTTATGATCTCAACTACTTCCTGATTTAACTTCTTTATTATCACCAAAAGGATCTGGGGTATTTCCGTGTATCTACTCTCAGCATGAGATCCCTGTGGTACAGTTATACTTGATGAATGGAAGGAGTCAGAACAGGGAGACATGCCTTCAGTGAGCCCAGAGTCTGTGGTTTTCTCTTGATGGGACTGGGAAGACGGTCCAGTGGCCAGAGGTCGAGATCTGGTAGCGGAAGCATCAGAAGGCCGGCAACTCTGAAACAAGTGATCCCATACCAGACCAGGTTTATTATTAAAATAACTATATATGAAGGGTCACAGGAAGGACAAAATGGGAGGCCACCGTTCATAAGACTTTCTCTTTCTAAAATGTAAATGGCTCAATTTAATTTCACAGCATATGCTGAATGTCTATGTGCAAAGTGTTGTACTAGATCACTATACTAAACCCTTTTTTAAAACAGGGAGGCAAATGGCATAAAAAGATGGTTCAGGACCTGCCACTGGCAAGTATCCTTCACATTTAAAATCATTTCAGGCTGGGCGAGGTGGCTAATGCTTGTAATCCCAGCACTTTGGGAGGCTGAGGCAGGCAGATCACCTGAGGTCAGGAGTTCCAGACCAGCCTGGCCAACATGGTGAAACCCAGTCTCTACTGAAAATACAAAAAATTAGCTGGGTGTGGTGGTGGGGGCTTATAATCCCAGCTACTTGGGAGGCTAAGGCAGGAGAATTGCTTGAACCCAGGAGGCGGAGTTTGCAGTGAGCCAAGATTGTGCCACTGCACTCCAGCCTGGGCAATGGAGTGAGACTCCATCTCAAAAAAAAAAAAAAAAAAAAAAAATTCAGTTGTGCATATTCAAATGACAATTTAACTTTATTTCATTATTTTTTTAAAACTGCCCATTCTTTCTTCCCATAATCCACCTCTAGTTCTCATTCCCTTTGCTCTCCCACAATACTAGAGAAGTTAGCATCTTATCTTGCTGCCTTCTGGTTCTTGGTATTCAGTAAGTCTTTTCAGAAGCTGTCAACTTATGATAATTCTTTCAACCATGAACTAAAAAATCCATGGGGTGGAAGAAAACTCTTTCATATAGAATTAACAAAATACTTTAAATTGGGTTAACCAACAATTCAACACAGACTTTAAAAAATTACTATGGGAATTTTTGTTAGGTGAAAACCCTATAAATGACTACAGCTAGTTCCTAATGCAACTACAACACCACAGAAGTCAAAAATATAGCTGATCAATCTCCACAAACTTTTGCAACATGGCATATTTACATTCAGGCTTTCAGCAATGGCTTTCCTCAAGAGCTCCTCTTCTTCCTCCTCCTGGCTGTTCACCTCCCTAGCTTCCTGCTCACTCATTTTGAGAGCCAGAGCAAACTGTTCTTCTTCTGTCATCTCTGTAAGAGGATAGGGAAAAGAGAAGGAGGAACACCACAAACACTGAATAATCATGGAGGCAAGAAAGAGAATTATTAAACTTTTCAACTGAAGACACTACCAGACCACTTAGTACAATTTTATAATCTTGTAAATGAGGAAAACCCCAGAAGGAAAGGTGTTGGCCAAGATAATTAGCAGCAGTTACAACAAGAATCTTGGGTTAACTAGGCTGTAAGCTCCCATGAAGGCAGAGTTTTTACCTACACTGTTCACTGTTATACCTCCAGCACATAAAAAAGTGCAGGGCACATGGTACGTAATAAATATCTGCTAAATGAATAAACAGAGGAATTAATGCCCACTCTAGAGCTTTTTGCTAAATACCGCAACGCTTTATGCTCAACATTTAGCCAGAACAATTTTACTCTTCAGAATCCTCTGATTTACCCAGTAGAAAAGAACATCCCTAGTGACAAGAATGTGGTCTCCAGACACCATTTTTCATTTAAAAGGAACCGGGGTACACTGAAGAAATGGCTGGGTCCCAAGTCCAAAGCATGAAATGAACAAGATGAGCTAGAATATTTGTCACTGTATTAGACACTACTAGACACTATTAAGCAAAGACTCTATTAGACACTACTAGAGTCATATCGAAAGAACTTAGGAGCCAATTAAATAAAGTCCTCACTGGCCAAAAATGGAACCGAAGCATCAATAAAGATAATGAATGCAATGCTTTAAATCACATCAAATATATTTAAATCTGTAAGTTAAGGCCAGGCGTGGTGGCTCACGCCTGTAATCCCACCACTGTGGGAGGCCAAGGTGGGAGGATCATGTGAGGTCAGGAATTCGAGACCATCACGGACAACATGGTGAAACCCTGTCTCTACTAAAAACACAAAAATTAGCCAGGCATGGTGGTGGGTGCCTGTAATCCCAGCTACTTGGGAAGCTGAGGGAGGAGAATCACTTGAACCCGGGAGGCGGAGGTTGCAATGAGCTGAAACCATGCCATTGCACTCCACCCTAGGTGACAAAAGCAAGACTCCATCTCAAAAAAACCAAAAACAAAAACAACTGTAAGTTCATACTAATATTTTTTAAAAATACATAGACTAACCAGTCACTGTTGAAGAATGTCAGTGAATCCACTATTTGAAAACTGATAAAATAATAGAATTGCTTTTATCCTACTTTTTCTACACAAGCTATACTACTGGGTAACCAAGCAAATTAAAAGCTCCTCTTTATAGAATTATTACAGGCCAGGCGCGGTGGCTCACGCCTGTAATCCCAGCACTTTGGGAGGCCAAGGTAGGCGGATCATGAGATCAGGAGATCGAGACCATCCTGGCTAACACGGTGAAACCCCGTCTCTACTAAAAAAATACAAAAAATCAGCCAGGCATGGTGGTGAGCGCCTATAGTCCCAGCTACTCACGAGGCTGAGGCAGGAGAATGGCGTGAACCCTGAAGGCAGAGCTTGCAGTGAGCAGAGATGCGCCACTGCACTCCAGCCTAGGCAACAGAGTGAGACTCCGTCTCAAAAAAAAAAAAAAATCAATTCTACAAAAAGGTCAATAAAATGCATAAACCTCGGCCAGGAGCGGTGACTCATGCCTGTAATCCCAGCACTTTGGGAGGCCAAGCCAGGCAGATCACCTGAGGTCAGGAGTTTGAGACCAGCCTGGCCTACATGGTGAAACCTCATCTCTACTAAAAATACAAAAATTAGCTGGGCGTGGTGGCAGGCGCCTGTAATCCCAGCTACTCGGGAGGCTGAGGTAGGAGAATCGCTTAAACCCGGGAGGCGGAGGTTGCAGCGAGCCAAGATCACGCAACTGCGCTCTAACCTGGGCGACAGAACAAGACTCCATCTCAAAAAATTAAAAAATTAAAAAATTAAAATGCATAAACCTCTTAACTGCTCAAGAACAAAAACACAACAACAATTAACAATACCGACAATAAAAGAGGAAACAAGATTATAAATTCTACAGTCACTAAAAGAATAAATAAGGGAATACTATGAATGATTTTATACCAGTAAGTCTGGCAACTTCTTTTTTTTTTTTTTTGAAATGGCGTCTCTCTCTGTTGCCCAGGCTGGAGTGCAGTGGCGTGATCTCAGCTCACTGCAACCTCTGCCTCCCAGGTTCAAGCGATACTCCTCCCTCAGCCTCCGAAGTAGTTGGGATTATAGGTGCCTGCCACCAGGCCCGGCTAATTTTTGTATTTTTAGTAGAGACGAGGTTTCACCATGTTGGCCAGGCTGGTCTCAAACTCCTGACCTCAGGTGATCCACCCGCCTCGGCCTCCCAAAGTGCTGGGATCACAGGCATGAGCCACTGGGCATGGCCAAGTCTGGCAACTTCTATCATGCATTCTCAACAAGAGTGATACCATCCCCAAGTGGACAAAAATTGGTTCTTGGAGGCAAAAATAAAATAAAATAAAAATCTTTTTATATATAAGATACAGACATACAATCAGTACATAAAACGGAATACAAAGCTTATCTGTGGTATTAAAAATATCATGGGGATGGCAGTGGTTAGAGGGAAAAATAGTCTAAAAAGGCACCTCAGGAGAGTAACAATGAAAAACAGGGCCAGGTACAGTGGCTCATGCCTATAATTGCTCAAGTCCAGGTGGTCGAAGCTGCAGTGAGCCAAGATCACACCAATGCATTCCAGCATAGGTGACAAAGTGAGACCCTGTCTCAAAAAAAAAAAAAAGAAAAGAAAAAAATAAATTTTAAAAAATAGCTGGGTGTAGTGATGCACACCTACAGTCTCAGCTACTCAGGAGGCAGAGGTGGGAAGATCACTTAAGCCCAGCAGTTCGAGACCAGCCTAGGCAACATAGTGAGATCTTGTCTCTACAAATAATAAAAAACTAGCTGGATGTGGTGGTATACACCTGTGGTCCTAGCTACTTGGGAGGCTGAGATGAGAGGATCACTTGAGCCCAGGAGGCAGAGGTTGTAGTGAGCCACTGCATTCCAACCTGGACAACAGAGGGAGACCCTGTCTCAAAAAGAAAGAAAAAAAAATTAGCTGGGTATGGTGATGCATGCCTGTTAGTCCCAGCTATTCAGGAGGCTAAAGCTGGAGGATCACTTGAGCCTAGGAGGTTGAGGCTACAGTGCTGCAGTCACACCACTATATTCCAGCCTGGGCGACAGAGTAGGACCCTGCCTCAAAAAACAGTAGTAATAAACAAATAATAAAATTAAATTTATATAGGAATGCAAAGGACCCAAATTAATCAAAACAATTTTTAAAATAAAGTTGGAAGAATTATACTACCTGATTTTAAGACATTATAAAGCTACATTAATCAAGACAGTGTGGTATGGCATAATGACAAACATAAATAAATGGAAAAGAACAGAAAATTCAGAAATAGACCCATGCATTGATTTTCAACACAAGGAAAGGACAGTCTTTCCAGCAAATGGTACAAGAATGATTGGATATCCATATGGGAAAAAAATGAACCTTAATTCTTACCTTGCACCATATACAAAAACTCAAAATAGATCAGAAATCTAAATGCTAAAGCTAAAACTATAAAATTTCCAGAAGAAAATAGGTGGAAATCTTCATAACCTTAGCGTAGTCAAAGATTTCTTAGGACATAGAAAGAAAAAAAACCATAAAAGAGAAAAAAATGGACCACATCAAAGTTTAAAACTTCTGTTCTAGCCAGGCATGGTGGCTCATGCCTATAATCCCAGCACTTTGGAAGGCTGAGGCGGGTGGATCGCTTGAGGTCAGGAGCTGGAGACTAGCCTGGCAAACATTAGCAGAGTGTAGTGGCATGTGCCTGTAGGCCCATATACTCAGGAGGCTGAGGTGGGAGAATCGTTATGAACCCGGGAGGCAGAGGTTGCAGTGAGCCAAGATCACGCCAGCACACTCAGCCCGGGTGACAGAGCACGATGCTCCGTCTCAAAAAAAAAAATAAAAAGGAATCATAAAAACAGATTTTGCTGCTCTGTAAGTTCAGAATGGGGGCTAACTGGTGGCTGTCACCTGTAATCCCAACACTGGGAGGCCCAAGCTGGAGGATTGCTTGAGGCCAGGAGTTTGAGATGAGCCTGGACAGCACAGCAGGACCCTGTGTTAAAAAAAAAATTAAAATTAGCCAGGCGTCGTGGGGCATAGTTGGGAAGCTGAGGCAGGAGAATCACTTGAGCCAATGAGTTCAAGGCTGCAGTTAGCTATGATCATACCATACCCCTACACTTAAGCCTGGGTGACAGAGTGAGATCCTGTCTCTAAAAAAAAAATAAATTTAAAAAAATTTTTTTAAAGATTCAGAATGACCACTTCTGGCTTCCACTGAAGATACAGGAAACTGAAAAAAGTTATTGTTCCAATCCTTACAACAATAGCAACAAAAACTGATAAATTCACAACTTTTCTTGAATCTATCAGAGACCTAAGAATGCAACATAATCAACTAGTCCAAAATGTATCAGTTCTATGACTATTACAATTCCCAAACCATTATCAACAAAATGAAAACATACGTGCGATTTTTCTTTTGGCCAAACACTTTGCTCTATTCGACTGTTTTGTCTTCGTTTTCTGCAACCCATTTTCCTCCTTTGGTTCCTGTTGCAAAACAAGAAATATCATCAGTGTGGCTGCCACTAAAAGTAGTGATTTCTCTCTCTTCTACCTCCCCTATGGCTAAGAGAGGCCTCTGAGGAATTGGTGATTGTTATAAATATGCACATAAAACATTAGAAGATCCTTTTCAGTACAAAAGGGAAAACATAAGATCTAGAACCAATAAAAACTGTAAGAACAAAAATGTGATATATTGGCATTATTATCTGTCATATAAACAGTCAGACAAAAACTAGTCTATCTCTAAAATACCAGTAAGCATCACCAAAGATCAGAGTAGCTTGATTGAAGATATGAAAAAACAATAATAATGTTTAAACTCAGCGTGTATTCATTTATTTTAAATCACTCTTTTGGACAATGGATAGTAAAGGAAAGGAAAAAGAGGGTAAATGAAAAATCCTATAGAAGCAAAAGAGAACCAAATACACCAACCCTACACCCCACCCTAAAATTTAATAAGAAACGCAAACAAAATAATCAAGAAAACAAAAAATAAAATAGAGAAAGAAATAAAAGGCCAAGCACAGTGGCTCATGCCTGTAATCCCAGCACTTTGGGAGGCTGAAGTGGGAGAATCGCTTGAGGCCAGTTCAAAACCAGCCTGGGCAATGTAGAGAGATCCTGTCCTTAACCCCCAAAAAAATTTATTTATTTTTTAATTAAAAAGAATTTTTTTTAAATTAGCCAGGCATGGTCCTAGCTACTCAGGAGGCTGGAGCAGATGGATCGCTTGAACCCAAGACTTCCAGGCTGCAGCAAGCTAAGATCGCACCACGATATTCCAGCCTGGGAGACAAAGCAACATCCTCATCTCTAAAAATAAATAAATAAAAATAAAACTGGGCAAAGGGTTTGAAAAGAATTTCTCTGAAGATGAAGATATAGAAATGTCCAAGAAGTACATGAAAAGATGCCCAGTATCATTAGTCATCAGGGAAATACAAGTCAAAACCACAATAAGGTATCACTTCACACCCACTAGGATAATTAAAATAATTTTTGTTTCAAATAAGAAAATAAGCATTGGCAAGGATTACAAAAACCGGAACCCTAGTACACTGTTGGTGGGAATATAAAACAGTGCCCCCACTGTGGAAAAAAAAGAAATGAGGTACTGATACACACTACGAAATGAATGTACCTTGAAAATATATAATTGAAAGAAGTCAGACAAAAGGCCACATATATTGTATAATTCCATTTATAAGACATGCCCAGAATGGGCAAATCCATATAGAAAGTAGATCAGTGGTTGTCAAGGGCTAGGGGTTTGGGGGAAAATGGAGAGTAACTGCTAATGAAAATGGGTTTTTTCTGGGAGTAATGAAAATGTTCTAGGCCCCTGCTACTGGGCCGTGGAGACTGGCACAGTATAGTGTGGGGTGAGGCTGACGAGGGCAGTGGCCATGGAGGGTAAAAATGTTCTAAAATTAACTGTGGGCCAGGCGCAGTGGCTCACGCCTGTAATCCCAGCACTTTGGGAGGCCCAAGCAGGCGGATCACCTGAGGTCAGGAGGTCGAGACCAGCCTGGCCAACATAGTGAAACCCAATCTCTACTAAAAATACAAAAATTTGCCAGGCGTGGTGGCATATGCCTGTAATCCCAGCTACTCAGGAGACTGAGGCATGAGAATCACTTGAACCCGGGAGGCAGAGGTTGCAGTGAGCCAAGATCGCGCCACTGCTCTACAGCCTGGGGCAAGAGAGTAAGATTCTGTCTCAAAAAAAAAAAAAAAAAAGAGAGAGAGAGAAATAAGACAAATCCACAACTATGGTCAAAGACTTCAACAGCCTCCTCAAAATATTTGTAGAATAGACAGAAAACCAATAAATATAAAGTAGATTTGAACAACACTATCATCAAACTTCATCAGATTGACATTTACAGAAATCACTATCCAAAACGTGCGTTCTTCTCAAGTACACACAGAATATTCTGGGCCATAAAACAAGTCTCACTAAGTTTAAAAATGATTCAAATCATATAAAGTACATACTATTAATGGAGATTGCAGTAAGCCGAGATCACGTCACTGTGCCACTGCACTCCAACCTGGATGACAGAGCAAGACTCCATCTCAAAAAAAAAAAAAAAGAAAAGAAAAAAAAAAACAGAAACAAAAAAGGCCAGGCGCAGTGGCTCACACCTGTAATTCCAGCACTTTAGGAGGCCAAGCTGGGTGGATCACCTGAGGTCAGGAGTTTGAGACCAGCCTGGCCAACATGGTAAAACCCCCTCTCTACTAAAAATACAAAAATTGCGCAGGTGTGGTGGCAGGCACCTGTAATCCCAGCTACTCCGCAGGCTGAGGCAGGCAGAATCACCTGAACCTGGGAAGCAGAGGTTGCAGTGAGCTGATATCATGCCATTGCACTCCAGCTTGGGCAACAGAGCGAGACTCCATCTCAAAAAAATACATATAAAAAAATAAAAATAATAACAAAACAAAAACAAAAAACAAACGTCTTCCTAAGATTATTCCAGCTGCTTTTTTCTATTCTAAAGCAGAAAAAAAGACTTTTTTTCATATACAAAAATACCAAGACACTATAAGAATATGAAATACATATTAAAACTCAGTTGGTAGGCCGGGTGCGGTGACTCACGCCTGTAATCCCAGCACTTTGGGAGGCCGAGGCGGACGGATCACGAGGTCAGGAGATCGAGACCATCCTGGCTACCACAGTGAAACCCCGTCTCTACTAAAAATACAAAAAAAACTAGCCAGGCGTGGTGGCAGGCGCCTGTAGTCCCAGCTACTCGCGAGGCTGAGGCAGGAGAATGGTGTAAACCCAGGAGGCGGAGCTTGCAGTGAGCAGAGATGGCGCCACCGCACTCCAGCCTGGGCGACAGAGCGAGACTCTGTCTCAAAAAAAATAAAATAAAATAAAATAAAAATCATTTGGTAGCCCGGTTTTATGGGAGATTTTTAGGAAACCCTATAAAACAAATAATTCCTATACTATTTAAATTGTGGTAGGACATAGAAAAAAATAATAAGCTTTCCTTCTCTTTTATATCATAACCCTAATACTAACATCTGATGAAGGCCATAGCGCCCCCCAAAAAAAACTTTATAAAGCCAATGGCACTAGGAGTACAGATGCAAAACTCCTAAATAATATATTGAGAAAAAAATCAATATTATATTAACATAACACATCATGACCAAGTATGATTTATTTCAGAAATGCAAAGATGTTCCAACATTAGAAAATACTAATCCCATATATAATATTAGTTGATTAAAGGAGAAAAACTACTCCATCATCTTGCTAAATAAAGGACATCTGATTAAACATAATTCCTAAAACCACTACTAGTAAATAAGCAATTAAAGGATAGTTCCTTAACATAAAAACGGAAATATGAAACAAATAGCAAAACATCAGAAGTAAAAGATGTGCTCTATTGCTAGTATCAATCAACATTATTCTGGAAGCTACAGCCAACGCAATGAAAACAAGCAAAAAAAGGTGTAAGTGCTAGAGAGTAAGAGAAAAAATGATAGTTATTAGCAGAGATAAATGCCTACCTAAAATACCCAAGACAATCAACTGAACAATTATAAAAATATGTGACAGATTAACGGAAGAAAAACAGAGACACACCCATTTATAAACAAGATTTTAGTTTATGATAAAGGTAAAATTTCAAATACCTGGGGAATGGAGAGATTATTGGAAAGTGTTGGTAGATATGTCTAATCACCAATACTTAGTTTTTCAAAATATACGTATGCTGTTCAGGGATACATGTAAATGTGGTAAAACTGTAAGGAGAAACATGGGAAGATAGAATACATAGTCGTTACCTTTAGAAAGGTGGAAAAGAGCTGGGTGCGGTGGCTCACGCCTGTAATCCCAACACTTTGGGGTGTATCACCTGAGGTCAGGAGTTTGAGACCAGCCTGGCCAACATGGTGAAACCTCATCTCTACTAAAAATACAAAAATTAGCCAGGCGTGGTGGCGCCTGTAATCCCAGCTACTCAAGAGGCTGAGGCAGGAGAATCGCTTGAACCTGGGAGGCGGACGTCGCAGTGAGCCGAGATTGCACCACTACACTCCAGCCTAGGCAACAAAGCGAGACTTCATCTCAAAAAAAAAAAAAGAAAGGTGGAAAAGAATGCAATTGGGAAGGGACACACTAAGAGAAGAGGGATTCTCAGGTGGTAACTGCAAGTGTTCACATTAATTTTTAAAACCATGCATTTATATTTTATGCACATTCCTGTATGCATAACATATATGACGTATGACATATGTGCTGCTATAGAAAGGTCTCCCGGAAATACTATAATGGTTAATTTTAGTATCAGTTTGACTGGAGTAAGAAATACCCAGAGAACTAGTAAAGTATTATTTTCTGGTGTGTCTGTCCGGGTGTTTGCAGAGGAGATTAGAGTGTCAGTCTGAGTGACTAAGTGGGGAAGATTTGCACTCAATGTGGGTGAACACCATCCAACTGGCTGGGGGGCTAAATAGAATAAAAACATAGGAAAGGCAAATTTGTCTCTCTCCTGGAGCTGGGACACATTCTTCTTCTACCCTTGGACATCAGAATTCCAGGCTCTCCAAGCCTTGGATTTCAGGCCTTAACACTCAGCACCCCTTACCCCTTGTCCTCAGGCCTTCAGACTTCCACTGAGCCATACTACTGGCATCCCAGGGTATCCAGCTTGCAAATAGACTATTGTGGGGACTTTTCAACCTCCATAATTGAATGAGCCAATTCCCCTAATAAATTCCATCCGTCTGTCCATCTGTCCTTCCATCCATCCACCCTTCTGTCCGTCCTTCTGTCCGTCCATCCGTCCATCCGTCCATCCGTCCATCCATCCATCCATCCATCCGCCTATCCTATTGGTTCCATGTCTCTGGAGGACCTAACACAGACATTAAGTGAAAAAAAGCAAAACAGTTTCCACAGCATGGTTCTTTTCCTGTAAAAATCTCTACTGATAATGTATGCACAAAATTTTTTTTCCGAGGACACAGAAGAAATTACTGCCTTCAGATCACACAGATGACATCAAGAAATTATTTTAAAAATGAAAAAGAAATTATTGCTTATGGTTAAATGTCTGTAGTGTACATTTTCATTTCATATCTTTCTAAACTGTTATGTTATGGCTTGGATTTTTTTTTAAACATATATGTATACAATTTTTTTTAACATATCTGTATCTGTGTATTTAATATTTTTATTTTTGTTAATATTAAGATGATATCCAAGTAATACAATTGTTTTGTTTTCTTTCTGTTTTAGATGGAGTGCAGTGGTACAATCATAGCTCACTGCAGCCTCAAACTCCTTGAACTCCTAGGCTCAAGCAATTCTCCCACCTGCCTCAGCTTCCCAAGTATCTGGGACTACAGGCACACGCCACCATGCCCAGCTAAGTTTTGTATTTTTTGTAGAGACAGGGTCTTACTATGTTGGTCAGGCTGGTCTCAAACGCCTGGCCTCAAGCAATCCTCCTGTCTAAGCTTCCCGAAGCACTGGGATTATAGGGATGAGTCACCAGGGATGTACCTACCCCTTGTTTTCTTCTCTATACGCTTATGCCTTTAAAATGAACTATGTAGATAAAAGTCCTAATTAAAAACTGAACTATAAGGAACTTTTTGTTTTGTTGGTTTTTTTTTTTTTTTTTTGAGACGGAGTCTCCCTCTGTCACCCAGGCTAGACTGCAGTGGCGCAATCTCGGCTCACTGCAAGCTTCGCCTCCAGGGTTCAAGTAATTCTCCTGACTCAGCCTCCAAAGTAGCTGGGACTACAGGCACGTGCCACCACACCTGGCTAATTTTTTGTATTTTTAGTAGAGATGGGATTTCACTGTGGTAACCAGGATGGTCTCGATCTCCTGACCTTGTGATCCACTCGCCTCGGCCTCCCAAAGTGCTAGGATTACAGGTGTGAGCTGCCGTGCCCGGCCAAGAAACGTTTCTGAAAAATCAATAAAGATGTAAAGAAATGCTCAATCTTGCTAACCAAAAATATGTCATTTTTTGGCCAGATGCAGTGGTTCACATCTGTAACCCCAGCACCTCAGGAGGCCTAGGCAGGATTGCTTGAGGATGGGAGTTTGATACCATCCTGGGCAACATGGCGAAACCCCATCTCTACAAAAAAAAATACAAAAATTAGCCAGGCATAATGGCTTGAGCCTGTAGTCCCAACTACATGGGAGGCTGAGGTGGGACCAGGAGAAGGAAGGTGGAGTGAGCTGAGCTAACACCACTGCACTCCAGCCTAGGTGACAGAGGGAGACCCTGGCTCTAGAAAAAAAAAATATATAGGAGAAAGAGAAGAAAATCTGAAGGAAAAAACAATGACTTAATTCACTGCCTTTGAGATGAGACCTGCAGGCAGGCAGAAAACTCCAATAAACAAATAGAAATACAGGATAAAGGAAAAAGGTTACAATCTTTATTCCGGAGAATAAAGCTTTCTAAAATGATAAAAATGTTGTATAGCTCTGCTGTCTAATACAACTGACACTAGCCTTATGTGTCTTTAATCACTTGAAATGTGACTAGTGCAACAGAGAAGCTGATTTTTAATTTTAGTTATTTTTAAACAGCTACAGATGGCTAGGTGCTATTATATGTAGAACATATCAAGAGACTTAAGAACATTCACGTGTTTTTCCTCTCACTTTCTAGACACATGAAAACTAAGATTTACAATTGATTTAGATGATTCAAATAGTTCCAAAATGCCACTTTGGATTACTATATTATAAAACTGAAGAACTATGATCCATCCTCAACCAAGCAACAGGATTACTACCTTAAGTAATTCTTCATTCCATTTACAAATTAAAACAAAGCTGAGTAAAAATTTCATGGTTTTGGTGAGCTGGCATTAAGGTGAAGTCAGTCACGAAACAAACTCCCCATGGGTAAAGAAGCATAGTTTGAGAGCTACAGCTCTACTTTTCAGCTCTACTTCACTAACCTCTCCATCACTATCGGATATCACAATGAATGCATCCTCAAGTCTACGCTTCCTCTTCACACTGACAGAACTGGTAGTTTCCACATCCTTCTTCTCCAGGTTCCGAGATTCGGAGACTTCTTTAACTTTTTTCTTTCTCCGTGGCATCCTTTTGTCTAGAATAAAAGGACAATAATTTTGTCTAGAATAAAAAGATCATAATTTACTTAAAGTATAAGTTTTCTAGAAGCTATTCAACTTAGTCTTTTTTTGAGATGGTCTCGCTTTGTTGCCCAGGCTGGAGTGCAATGGCACGATCTTGGCTCACTGCAACCGCTGCCTCCCAGGTTCAAGCAATCCTCCTGCCTCAGCCTCCCGAGTAGCTGGGACCACAGGCACACGCCACCACACTGGCTAATTTTTGCATTTTTAGTACAGACAGAGTTTCACCATGTTGGCCAGGCTGGTCTCAAACTCCTCACTTCAGGTGATCCACCCGTGTCAGCCTCCCATAGTGCTGAGATTACAGACATGAGCCACCACATCCAGCCTAATTTTTGTATTTTTGTAGAGACTGGGTTTCACCATGTTGGCCAGGCTGGTATTGAACTCCTGACCTCAGGTCATCTGCCCGCCTTGGCCTCCCAAAGTGTTGGGGTTACAGGAGTGAGCCACCATGCCCAGCCTCAATTTAATCTTGTAAAAGAAAAAGATAACCCTATCTAACAGAAGCAAAACTGCATTTCTTAACTTGTCTACTACTCATTAAAAATATAGCCCTCTCCCTCTCCCCCTCCCCCTCCTCCTCTCCCTCCTTTCTTCAGTCTCCCTCTGTTGCTGATACTGCCACGATCTTGGCTCGCTGCAACCTCCCTGCCTCAGGCTCCCGTGATTCTCCTGCCTCGGCCTGCCAAGTGCCTGGGATTCCAGGCACGCACCGCCACTCCTGACTGGTTTTTGTATTTTTGGTGGAGACCGGGTTTCGCCATGTTGACCGGGCTGGTCTCCAGCTCCTGGCCTCGGGTGATCTGCCCGCCTCGGCCTCCCGAGGTGCTGGGATTGCAGACGGAGTCTCGCTCACTCAATGCTCAATGTTGCCCAGGCTGGAGTGCAGTGGCATGATCTCGGCTCGCTACAACCTCCACCTCCCAGCCGCCTGCCTTGGCCTCCCAAAGTGCTAAGATTACAGCCTCTGCCCGCCCGCCACCCCATCTAAGAAGTGAGCAGTGTCTCTGCCTGGCTGCCCATCGTCTAGGATGTGAGGAGCCCCTCTGCCCGGCCACCCCGTCTGGGAAGTCAGGAGCGCCTCTACCCGGCCGCCACCCCGTCTAGGAAGTGAGGAGCCCCTGCCTGGCCGCCCATCGTCTTGGATGTGAGGAGCGCCTCTGCCCGGCTGCCCCGTCTGGGAGGAAGTGAGGAGTGCCTCTGCCCGGCCGCCACCCCATCTGGGATGTGAGGAGCACCTCTGCCCGGCCACCCCATCT
Organism: Homo sapiens; assembly: GCF_000001405.40. Lineage (NCBI taxonomy): Eukaryota > Metazoa > Chordata > Mammalia > Primates > Hominidae > Homo > Homo sapiens. The sequence continues at coordinate 176,983,932 of NC_000005.10, forward strand.
GGGAAGTGAGGAGTGCCTCTGCCCAGCCGCCCCGTCTGGGAGGAAGTGAGGAGCGCCTCTGCCCGGCCGCCCCGTCTGGGAAGTGAGGAGCGCCTCTGCCCGGCCGCCCCGTCTGGGAAGTGAGGAGTGCCTCTGCCCGGCCGCCCCGTCTGGGAAGTGAGGAGTGCCTCTGCCCGGCCGCCCTGTCTGGAAAGTGAGGAGTGCCTCTGCCCGGCCGCCCTGTCTGGGAAGTGAGGAGCGCCTCTGCCCGGCCGCCCCGAATGGGAAGTGAGGAGCGCCTCTGCCCGGCCGCCCCATCTGGAAAGTGAGGAGTGCCTCTGCCCGGCCGGCCCATCTGGGATGTGAGGAGCGCCTCTGCCGGCCGCCACCCCGTCTGGGAAATGGGGAGTGCCTCTGCCCGGCCGCCCCGTCTGGGAAGTGAGGAGTGCCTCTGCCCGGCCTCCCCGTCTGGGAAGTGAGGAGTGCCTCTGCCCGGCCGCCACCCCGTCTGGGAAGTGGGGAGCGCCTCTGCCCGGCTGCCTATCGTCTGGGATGTGAGGAGCGCCTCTGCCTGGCCGCCCCATCTAGGAGTGAGGAGTGCCTCTGCCTGGCCGCCCCATCTAGGAGTGAGGAGTGCCTCTGCCCGGCCGCCCCATCTGGGAGGTGTACCCAACAGCTCCGAAGAGACAGCGACCAACGAGAACAGGCCATGATGACGATGGCGGTTTTGTCAAAAAGAAAAGGGGGAAATGTGGGGAAAAGAAAGAGAGATCAGGTTGTTACTGTGCCTGTGTAGAAAGAAGTAGACATAGGAGACTCCATTTTGTTCTGTACTAAGAAAAATTCTTCTGCCTTGGGATGCTGTTAATCTATAACCTTACCCCCAACCCCGTGCTCTCTGAAACATGTGCTGTGTCAACTCAGGGTTAAATGGATTAAGGGCAGTGCAAGATGTGCTTTGTTAAAAAGATGCTTGAAGGCAGCATGCTTGTTAAGAGTCATCACCACTCCCTAATCTCAAGTACCCAGGGACACAAACACTGCGGAAGGCCACAGGGACCTCTGCCTAGGAAAACCAGAGACCTTTGTTCATGTGTTTATCTGCTGACCTTCTCTCCACTATTATCCTATGACCCTGCCACATCCCCCTCTCCAAGAAACACCCAAGAATGATCAATAAATACAAAAAATAAAAATATAGAGGAATTTTTTTTAGAAAAATATAGGGAAAAAATGGTTTTTTTTTCTATAGAGAGAAACATAGACTGGGCACAGTGGCTCATGCCTGTAATCCCAGCACTTTGGGAAGCTGAGGCAGGTGGATCATTTGACGTGAGGAGTTGGAGACTATCCTGGCCAACATGGTGAAACCCTGTCTCTACTAAAAATACAAACATTAGCCGGGCGTGGTAGCGCATGCCTGTAATCCCTGCTACTCAGGAGACTGAGGCAGGACAATCACTTGAACCCGGGAGGCGGAGGTTGCAGTGAGCTGAGATCGCACCACTGCATTCCAGCCTGGGCAACAAGAGGGGAATTCTGTCTCAAAAAAAAAAAAAAAACAACTATATAAATATACAAATCTCATTCTCCATGGTGAAATTTCAGTATCAATAATATAGTCATGTATCCTAGTTCTTTAAACATCAATTTAGATAATTGCTTTTCTTGACTACATATTATAATTTACCTACAAGTTTTTTTTCTTTTTTGAGACAAGGTCTCGCTCTGTCACCCAGGCTAGGGTGCAGTGGCATGATCGTAGCTCACCACAGCCTCATCCTCCTTGGCTCAAACAACCCTCCCACCTCAGCTTCCTGTGCAGCTGGGACCACAGGGGTGTGCCAGCACACCTGGCTAATTTAATTTACTTTTTATTCCTTATAAGATAGGATCTCACTATGTTAACTAGGTTAAGATTTTTTAAATACCAAATGCCTCAACCTGATAAAGGACTTCTACAAAAATCCCATAACTAATAAGCTAACATCATGTTTAAAGGTACAAGACTGAATGCTTTCTCCTTTCGACAAGGAGCAAGACAAGAATGTTTCCTTTCAGCTGGGCGCAGTGGCTCACCCCTGTAATCCCAACACTTTGGGAGGCCAAGGCAGGAGGATCACTTGAGGTCAGGAATTTGAGACCATCCTATGCAACGTATTTTTTTTTTTGTAGAGACAAGACATGGCATCCTGTGTCTACAGGATAGAAGGCCGTCGTGGGCTGATCACCTGAGGTCAGGAGTTCGAGACCAGCCTGGCCAACATGGTAAAACCCCATCTCCACTAAAAACACAAAAATTAGCTCGGCGTGGTGGCGTGTGACTATAATCCCACCTAATCCAGAAGCTGAGGCAGGAGAATCACTTGAACTCAGGAGGTGGAGATTGCAGTGAGCTGAGATTGTGCCACTGCACTCCGGCCTGGGTGCCAGAGTAAGACTTCATCTCAAAAAAAAAAAAAAAAAAAAAAAAAAAAGTAAGGCACACTGGTGAGCACCTACAGTCCCAGCTACTCAAGAGGCTGAGGCAGGAGGATAGCTTGAGTGTGTTTGAGACTGCCATGAGCTATGATCATGCCGATGAACTTCAGCCTAGGCAACTGGGCAACAGAGCAAGACCCTGTCTCCAAAAAAAAAAAAAAAAAAAGGCTGGGCACACTGGCTCACACCTATAATCCCAGTATTTTGGGAGACCAAAGCAGGAGGATGGCTTGAGCCCACAAGTTAAGAGACCAGCCTCATCAACATAGCAAGACCCTGTCTCTACAAAAAATTAAAAAATTAGCTCAGCATGGTGGCATGCCTGTGGTCCCAGCTACTGCAGCCTGGGCAACAGGGCATGGTTCTATCTCAAAAAAAACAATGTCTGCTTTAATCATTGAACATTATACTTAGGGTTCTAGGCAGAACAATTAAGCAAAGAGAAATAAAAGATACTCAACTTAGAAGTAAAACTATCACGATTTGCAGATGACATGACCTGTGTTTAAAAAAAAACACTAAGAAACACATTAAAAAACTATTATAGGCCAGGTACAGTGACTCACACTTGTAATCCCAGCACTTCAGGAGGCTGAGGCGGGCAGATTACTTGAGGTCAGGAGTTTGAGACTAGCCTGGCCAATATGGTGAAACCCTGTCTCCACTAAAAATACAAAAATTAGCCAGGCGTGGTGGCGGGCGCCTGTAATCCCAGCTACTTGGGAGGCTGAGGCAGGAGAATCACTTGAACCCGGGAGGCAGAGGTTGCAGTGACCCAAGATCGTGCCATTGGCACTCCAGCCTGGGCGACAAGAGCGAAACTCCATCTCAAAACAACAACAAAATCAACAGTTCATCAAGGTTATCTTGCCTTGTATCAATGCAGGAAACAAGTCAACATACAAAAACCAATTGCATTCCTATATGCTAGACATAAACAATCAAAACTGAAATTTTAAAAATTATATTTCTGGCTGGGCACAGTGGCTCATGTTTATAATCCCAGCACTTTAGGAGGCTGAGGCTGGTGTATCACTCGAGGTGAGGAGTTTGAGACCAGCCTGGCCAACATGGTGAAACCCCATCTCTACCAAAAAATAAAAATAAAAAAACTAGCCAGGCATGGTGGTGCACACAGGTAGTCCCAGCTACTCAGGAGGCTGAGGTAAAAGGACTGCTTGAACCCAGGGCAGAGGTTGCAGTGAGCCAAGACCACACCACTGCCCTCCAGCCTGGGTGACAGAGTGGGACCCTGTCTCAAAAAAATAAAATAAAAATAAACATTAGCCAGGCATGGCAGCTAATGCCTGTAGTCCCAGCTACTTGGCAGGCTAAGGAGGAGGGATCACCTAAGCCCAGGAGGTTGAGGCTGCAGTAAACTGTGATCACACCACTGCACTCCAGCCTGGGCAACAGAGCAAGACCCTGTCTCACAAAAAAAAAAGACATCAAACGTAAAAGTAGCCCAGCAGAGTGGGCTGTAATCCCAAAACTCTGAGAGGCCAAGACTGGTGGATCACTTAAGCCCAGGAGTTTGAGACCAGCCCAGGAAACACGGCAAAACCCTATACAAAAAATACGAAATGTAGCCAGATGTGGTGGCGCACTTGTAGTCCCAGTTAGTTGGGAGGCTCAAGTGGGAGGATGGAGGATCAATTGAGCCCAGGAGGTCAAGGCTGCAGTGAACCAATATCCGTGCCACAGCACTCCAGCCTGGGTGACAGACTACGCCCCTGTCCAAAAAAAAAAAAAAAAAAAAACTCAAATCATTAATCATGAGGGAAACGCAAATCAAAACCACAATGAAATATCACTTTATACCCACTCTGATGGCTGGCTATTTTTTAAATAATGGAAAATAACTAGTGTTGGTAAGGATGCTGGAGAAACTGGAACTCTAGTACACTGTATTATTGATAGGATGTAAAATGGTGTAGCCACTATGGGGAAACAAAAGGAATGAAGTATTAATACATGCTACAACATGGATGAACCTTGAAAACATGCCAAGCGAAAGAAGCCAGACATAAAAGGCACATATTGTATGATTCTATTTATAAGAAACATCCAGAATAGGCAAATCCATAGGCAGAAAGCAGATTAGTGATTACCAGAAGATGAGATAGGGGAAAATGTACAATGACTGCTTAATGGATATAAGGTTTATTTTGGGGATGATAGAAATGTTCTGGAATTAGAAAGTGGTAATTGCACAACACTGTGAATTTATTAAAAGCCACCAAATTGTACACTTAAAATGACTGAAATGGTAGATTTTGTTAGGTGAATTTTTTTTTTTTTTTTTTTTTTGGAGACAGAGTCTTACTCTGTTGCCAGGCTGGAGTGCAGTGGTGCGATCTCTGCTCACTGCAGCCTCCACCTCCCGGGTTCAAGCAATTCTCCTGCCTCAGCCTCCCAAGCAGCTGGGGCTACAGGCATGTGCCACCACGCCAGGCTAATTTTTGTATTTTTAGTAGAGATGGGGTTTCACCATGTTGGCCAAGATGGTCTCGATCTCTCGACCTCATGATCCACCCACCTTGGCCTCCCAAAGTGCTGGGATTACAGGGTAAGCCACCGTGCCCAGCCTGTTAGGTGAATTTTACCTCAATTTTTTAAAAAGGGGAGCCCCGGATGATTTTATTTTACAGCCAGAGCAGAGAATCACTGACTCAATCACAGATTTAAATAAAGCCACCTTAACTTTGTAACAAACTTCTCAAACCATTCAATTACTCCTAAGGGGGTTGTTACATCTTATTATCAGAAGTAGTCTGTACAATACTAGCATTAAAGTTTTTCTAAAAAAAACACTTAAAGGATTAAAAAATTCTAAATTAAGGGATAGTAACAACATACACACACAGATGCTTACAATTTACAAAATCATTCCCCATGATAAAACTCGACACACAAACGTCCTTTTCTGCATTTAATGCATATTTTTAATGACTAAAGAACAAGAAATTACAAAGATGAAAAAATTAGCCAGGCGCAGTGGCTCAAGTCTGTAATCCCAGCACTTTGGGAGACCAAGGTGAGAGGATCATCTGAGGACAAGAGTTTGAGACCAGCCTGGACAACATGGTGAAACCCCATCTCTATTAAAAATACAAAAATTAGCTGGGTGTGGTGGCACATGCCTGCAGACCCAGCTACTGGAGAGGCTGGGGCAGGATTGCTTGAACCCAGGAGATGGAGGTTGCAGTGAACCAAGATCACACCACTGCACTCCAGCCTAGTCAACCGACCAAGACCCTGCCTCAAAAAAAAAAAGAAATATACTTTTAACTTCTGTATTTAAATACAGTTAACAGAATATTTATTGCATATGCAATGCAGAGGTAGCTAGTTATTATTTAAGTATACATAAATTCATACTAAAGCAGTAACATCTCACTAGATAACTAGATATGACCTATCCACTATGGTCTAAATGTTTGTGTCCCTCCAAAATTCATATGCTGACATCTAATCCCCAATGTGTTGGTAAGAAATGGGGCCTGGGGCCAGGCGCAGTGGCTCACGTCTGTAATCCCAGCACTTTGGGAGGCCGAGGCAGGCAGATCATGAGGTCAGGAGATCGAGACCATCCTGGCTAACATGGTGAAACCCCGTCTCTACTAAAAATACAAAAAAATTAGCCAGGCGTGGTGGCGGGAGCCTGTAGCCCCAGCTACTCGGGAGGCTGAGGCAGGAGAATGGCGTGAACCCGGGAGGTGGAGCTTGCAGTGAGCCGAGATCGAGCCACTGCACTCCAGCCTGGGCAACAGAGCGAGACTCTGTTACAAAAAAAAAAAACAAAAACAAAGAAAGAAATGGGGACTTAGGGAAGTCATGAAGACACAGCACTCATGAATGGGACTAGTGCCCTTATAAGAGAGGCCTAAGAGAACCTGTTTGCCCCTTTTACCCTTCTGCCATGTGAAGACACAGCAAGAAGGTCCCATCTTTTAAGCACAGTGCAAGCCCTCATCAGGCACCTTGATCTTACATTTACCAGACTTCAGAACTGTGAACAAAAAAAATTGTATTGTTTATAAATTACCCAGTCTAAGATATTCTGTTATAGCAGCAGGAAAAGGTTAAAAACCTATCAAGTTACCATTACACAAATTAAAACACAAATAAGATGACATATTTGTACTTCCTAAAATAAATTAATTTTATATTAATTCGCAAGAAGTGAATTTTCTAAACCCCAAACTGTAACAGAAATGGAAAAAACACATGCAACTTTGTACAAATGTTGCCATATTTCTAATATAAATAGATTTTATATTTATGTTTTTGTTTCTTGAGATAGGGGCTTGTTCTGTTGCCTTGGCTTGAATGCAATGTGTATGATCATAGCTCACTGCAACCTGTAACTCTTAGGTTCAAAGAATCCTCCTGCCCCAGCTTCCCAGGTAGGTAGGACTACAAGAGTACACCACAACACTCAGCTAATTTTTTTTTTTAAAGAGATGGGGGTCTTGCTGTGTTGCCCAGGCTGGTCTTGAACTCCTGGCCTCAAACGATCCTCCTGCCTTGGCCTCCTAAAATGCTAGGATTAGAAGCACAAGCCATCATGACTAATCAAGTCCTCAGTTTTATTTTTTATTTTATTTTTTATTTTTATTTTTATTTTTTTTGAGACAGAGTCTCGCTCTTTCGCCCAGGCCAGACTGCAGTGGCACTATCTCGGCTCACTGCAAGCTCTGCCTCCCAGGTTCACACCATTCTCCTGCTTCAGCCTCCTGAGTAGCTGGGATTACAGGCGCCCGCCACCACGCCCGGCTAATTTTTTTTGCATTTTTAGTAGAGATGGGGTTTCATCGTGTTAGCCAAGATGGTCTCGATCTCCTGACCTCGTGATCCACCTGCCTCAGCCTCCCAAAGTGCTGGGATTACAGACATGAGCCACCAAGCCCGGCCTCAGTTTTAATTCACCTTACTCTACCTTTTTAGATTCAGGTCTGCTACTACCATAATGAAGACTACCCAAAGAGCAAATCTCTTTGGGGAGAAACAGCAAAGACAACTGAGGGGAAAGAATATGAAATCTGGCAAATTGAGAAGACAGATCTGACCAGCCTGGGCAACACAGAAAGACTGCCTCTCGATCACCTGAGGTCGGGAGCTCAAGACCAGCCTGACCAACATGGAGAAATCCCATCTCTACTAAAAATACAAAATTAGCCAGGCATGGTGGCACTATTGCATTCAAGCCTGGGCAACAAGAGTGAAACTCCGTCTCAAAAAAAAAAAAAAAAAAAAGGCCAGGCGCGGTGGCTCACACCTGTAATCTCAGCACTTTGAGAGGCCGAGGCGGGCAGATCACGAGGTCAGGAGATCGAAACCATCCTGGCTAACACGGTGAAACCCCAAGTCTACTAAAAATACAAAAAATTCGCCGGGCGTGGTGGCAGGCAACTGTAGTCCCATCTACTCGGGAGGCTGAGGCAGGAGAATGGCGTGAACCTGGGAGGCAGAGCTTGCAGTGAGCCGAGATTGTGTCACTGCACTCCAGCCTGTGAGACAGAGCGAGACTCCGTTTCAAAAAAAGAAAGACCCCACCTCTACAAAAAAATTTTAAAAATTAGCCAGGTGTGGTGGTGCACACCTATAGTCCCAGCTACTTGAGAGGCTAAAGTGGCATGATCACCTGAGCCTAGGGAGGTGGAGGCTGCATTGAGCCATGATGGCGCCACTGCACTCTAGCCTGGGCAACAGAGTGAGACCTCATCTCAAAAGAAGAGATAGATTAATACTTAGAGAACTGCCAGCCAAGAGTTCTTAACCTGTCAATCCAAAAGCCCTTAAAGAATCTATAGATTGGCTTCAGGGGATTAACTAAAATTGTGTGTAAAATTGGTTTTTTCTGTATCTTCCTTGGAAAAATTTTTATATTTTTTATTGAATTCTCAAAGGAGCGAAAGACCCAAAAGAGTGTAGAACTATCAAGATTTGGCCAGGAATAGTGGCACATGCCTGTAATCCCAGCACTTTGGGGAGCCAAGGCAGAAGGATCACTAGAACTCAAGCGTTCAAGACGAGCCTCAGCAACATAGTGAGACCCTGTCTCAGTTTAAAAAAAAAAAAAGGTGACTAAGTAAATAAAGCTTTCTTAGGACATAAAGAAATTTTTTAAATTGATAAATTTGACTTTATTGAAATTTAAAACTTCTGCTCTTTAAAAAAAGACCATTAAGAAGCCACAGAATGACAATCTGGGCAAAATAGCAAGGCCTTGTCTCTATAAAAAAAAAAAAATTTTTTTTAATTAGCTGGGTATGGTGGCACACACCTGTAGTTCCAGCTACTCAGAAGGCTGAAGTGGAAGAATCACCTGAACCAGGGAGGTCAAAGCTGCAATGAGATGTGGTCATGCTACTGCACTCCAGCCTAGGCAACAGAGTAAGACCCCGTATCAAAAAAGAAAACAAAAAGCCACCATAGAATGGAAGAAAATATGTGCAATACATTTATCTTGCAAAAGACTTGTATCCAGAATATACAAACAATTATTGGGCCAGAAATGTTGGCTCACGCCTGTAATCCCAGCACTTTGGGAGGCTGAGGCAGGTGGATCACCTGAGATCAGGAGTTGGAGACCAGCATGGCCAACATGGCGAAACCCCATCTCTACTAAAAATACAAAAATCAGCTGGGCATGGTGGTGTGCACCTATAATCCCAGCTACTGGGGAGGCTGAGGCATGAGAATCATTTGAACCCCAGAGACAGGGGTTGAGCCAAGACTGTGCCACTGCACTCCAGCCTGGGCAACAGAGCAAGACTCCATCTCAAAAAAAAAAAAAAAAATTCTTGGCCGGGTGCAGTGGCTCATGCTGTAATCCCAGCACTTTATGAGGCCAACACGGCTCACCACAATCTCAACCTCCTAGACTCAAGCAATTCTTCCATCTCAACCTCCCAAGTAGCTAGGACCACAGGCATGTGCCACCACACCCAGCTAATTTACTTTTTATTTTTTGTAGAGACAAGGTCTCACTACATTGCCCAGACTGGTCTCGAACTCCTGGGCTCAAGTGATCCTCCCACCCAGGTCTCCCAAAGTGCTGGGATTACAGATGTGAGCCTCCATGCCCAGGCACAAATATTTTCTTACCTTTTAAAAATATATCTAATCATCATGGCACGAATATACCTATATAAAAAACCTGTACGTTCTGCACATGTACCCCAGAACTTAAAGACTTAAAGTCTAATAATTATAAAGTATCTCTACTGATAATTTGTAAGGCACAACCACAACATATGTATATTTACTTTTTTAACTATATGAATACTAATGTATGTATTTTGTGTACTGGAAAACATACAAAAATCTGCCAGGCGCGGTGGCTCACGCCTGTAATCCCACCACATTGGGAGGCTGAGGCAGGAGGATCACCTGAGGTCAGGAGTTTGAGACCAGCCTGGTCAACATGGTGAAACCCCGTCTCTACTAAAAATACAAAAATTAGCTGGGAATGGTGGCAGGCACTTGTAGTCCCAGCTACTTGGGAGGCTGAGGCAGGAGAACTGCTTGCACTCAGGAAGCAGAGGTTGCAGTGAGCCAAGATCACACCACTGCAGTCCAGCCTGGGTAACAAGAGTGAAACTCTATCTCAAAAAAAAAAAAAAAGAAGAAAGTATACAAAAATCAAAGTGTGAAAAGGATGAAATAGTAAAAAACACTTGGGTAATGCAGCATAAACATGCTTATTAAACACATAAACACTGGGAGGCTGGCTATGTCACTTTACATCTCTAGGTGGATTCCAAAAATTACACTCCAGCCTGAACAACACACTGAGACCCTATCTCAAAAGAAAAAATAAAAAAAGACAAACCAATATTTAAAAGAAGCAAGCGATATTAACAAACTTCACAAAAGCAGATATACTAAAGGCCAATAAGGAAAAACAAACAGATATTCAATATCATTATTCATCAAGAAATTACAAATTAAATTTACAATGGCCTAACACTGTATATCCATTAGAATGGCTAAAATTGAAAATAGTGACAATACAAATGTGGGCAGGAATGCAGAATATAATGAACCTCTCATATACTGCTAATGGGAATGTAAAATGGCATAACCACTTTGGAAAACTGGCAGTTTCTTTAAAAAAAAAAAAAAAAAAAAAGTATAACTGTCATGTAAGCCAGTCATTCTGTTGCAGGAATCTGGAGACTGGAGAGACCAATGCGTGGAACAGGAGGATTTTCTTTAGGTGGCCACCAGCCCAGCAGATTAACATCCAAAGGCTGAGCCCTCAACAAAGACAGGGCTTGACTTTTATACACACTTCTGAAAGGGAGTTGGCTAGTTTGAATGGTGCGGTGGGAATGTGACAGTGCGAAACTCATGGGGCAGGCAAGCAGGCTTACAGAAGCAGAACAAAGGCAGTTAATTAAATTGCGACAGGTCTCGCAACGCAGGCATAGCTTGTGATCATGCAGCTGCACAGTAGGGAAAACAGGAACTTACAAAACTTGTGAAACACAGGTATTTGTAGAAATAGTTATGAGAAAGGAATTTGTTTTCTTTTCTTATCCTCACTCTGGGGCGGGGTGTGGGGGGCAGTGTGCTGGGAGAGTATCTGGAGCTCATTCCTTTGGGCTCTGGCTTTTCAGATAGTGTTATCAAGGCTCTGCCAGGGCCCTGCCTATTGCTGGCCTTGGAGTGAGTCAGCCAAGTACAGGAAAACTTGTTTTTCTCTTTTTAACTTTGCTTCAATTCCACTACTATTAATTACTCAGTAGAAATGAAAACATTACCACCCAAAAACTTGTATATGTATGTTCATAGCAGCTCTTTCCATAATGTCAAACACCAAAGACAACCCAGATTCCATCAACAGATGAAATGACAACTTGTGGGCTGGGCATGGTGGCTCACACTTGTAATCCCAGCACTTTGGGAGGTCGAGATAGGCAGATTGCTTGAGGACAAGGATTTGAGACCAGCCTGGCCAACACAGTGAAACCCCGTCTTTACTAAAAATGCAAAAATTAGCTGGGTGTGGTGACATGCACCTGTAATTCCAGTTACTCAGGAGGCTGGGGTAGGAGAATTGAATTGCTTGAACTCAGGAGCCGAGACCATACCACTGCACTCCAGACTGGGTGACAGAGAAAGACTCTGTCTCCAAAAAAAAAAAAAAAAAAAAAAAAGGCCAGGCACGGTGGCTCACACCTGTAATCCTAGCACTTTGGGAGTCCAAGGCGGGTGGATCACGAGGTGAAAAGATCGAGACCATCCTGGCTAACACAGTGAAACCCCATCTCTACTACAAACACAAAAAATTAGCCAGGCATGGTGGCAGGAGCCCGTAGTCCCAGCTACTTGGGAGGTTGAGGCAGGACAATCGCTTGAACCTGGGAGGCAGAGGTTGCGGTGAGCCGAGATCATGCCATTGCACTCCAGCCTGGGCAACAAGAGTGAAACTCCATCTCAAAAAAAAAAAAAAAAAAAAAGGAATATAAAGTGGTACATCCACTTTGGAAAACAGTTTGGGAGTTTCTTAAAAAATAAGCATGTATCTACTACATTACCCAGCCATTTCATTCCTAGGTATTTACTCAAGAGAAATAAAGACGTGAATGTTCATCATAGCAGCCTTAGTCATAAGGGACAAAAACTGGAAATAACCCACATATCCATCAACATGTGAATAAACAAATTGAGACCTATCTCTACAATGAAAAATTGCTCAACAATAAAACGGAACAAACTACTGATGCATCCAACGACACAGATGAATCTCAAAGACATTATGGTGAGCAAAAGAAGCAATGTCTAAAAGACTACAAACTATGATTCTACCTGTATGAAACTAGAAAAAAACTAATCAACAGTTAAAGGAAAACAGACCAGCATTTGCCTGGAGCCAGGTCAGAAGAGGAAGAGAAATTACTGGTAAGGGGCAGGAGGGTAACTTTTGAGGTAATGTTCTCTATCTTGATTGTGGAGGTGATTACACAGTTATATACCTTGATGAAAACTCAAAATAGTCACTGAGTGGTGTTAAGTCAATAAACAAACTAAAAAAGGACTTGTGGTTACCATCATGACCATGTAAGGAGGTTGACAAATCTCTTCTCAAGAAAACTATAAAGCTAACCCAAAACAGTCAAGACAACCATTTCAGCACTTGGAAACTGACCAAAAGCATAAAACAAACTAAGAAATGTTCACTCATGAAAACGACTGAACTTTGGGTAAGAATACCATGAGTCTCTGTGATTCACACCTAGGATCAACTCCCCTATTCAGTACCCTACTCCTCAGTTCAAATCACAGGTTGAACTATGAGTCCAGTAGTTTAACCAGGGAAGGACAGAATATGAGTACCAACCACTGCACTGCAACAGCTGAAGGGAACAGATGAGATGTGGAGTATCGTTACTCCAATCTTAGTGGCCAATTGCCTGCCATTGGGTCTTACCTGAGACAAGCAACAAATGAGAAGATGAGTCAGAGATTTATCAGGAAGCTCCATGAAATAAGACAGCCATAGGAGGATTCATAAACTCTCAAAATATCCCAGAATGGTCAGAGGCTGTTGAAATGCACAGCAGAGACCACAATAGGCCCAAGCTTCCTACATAACCCTGCTCAGCGGGATCTATGTGCACGCGTGCGCACACACACACACACACAAATTTGAGAGCCCTGAGAAAAGAGTTGGGGCAGACTTGAAAGCTAGTACACACCTTCCAGCCCTGTACAGAACCAAGATGTTATCTTTAACTCTCTTTCCCTCATTTTTCATATCCAATTCATCCTTATGTGCAACTGATTTCACCTCCTATACCTCTCTTTAAGCTCTCCATTTCTTTTCATTTTCACCACTATCACCATCCAAGCTACCAACAACTCTCGTGTAGACAATTTTAACAGACTCATAACTGGGTTCCTTACTTTTACCACCGTTCCCCTCCAATCTCTACACACCAAAGCTGTTTTCTTTTCAACTGCAAATCTTAAAGTACTCCACTACTTAAAACATTTCAGGCCGGGCACGGTGGCTCACACCTGTAATCCCGCACTCTGGGAGGCCGAGGCAGGCGGATCACAAGGTCAGGAGATCGAGACCATCCTGGCTCACACAGTGAAACCCCGTTTCTACTAAAATTACAAAAAAATTAGCCGGGCGTGGTGGCGGGCCCCTGTAGTCCCAGCTACTGAGGAGGCTGAGGCAGGAGAATGCCGTGAACCCAGGAGACGGAGCTTGCAGTGAGCAGAGATTGCACCACTGCACTCCAGTCTGGGCAACAGAGCGAGACTCTGTCTCAAAAAAAAAAAAAAAAAAAAACCCATTTCAATGGTTTCCCACTATTTTTATAGTTAGGACATTTTTGCTCTTAACATAGTCTACAAAGTATGTCCCGTATTATCTGCCCTCCTGCCAGATTGCTCTTTCTAAGCTCTCTCACAGTTCTTAAGCCCCAGCCATACTCCTTTAATGTCATGAGGCCTCTATACTTGCTTCTTATGAATGGAAGATTCCCCAACATTCCCCTTCACCTAGTTAATTCCTTCTCATCCTTCAGAAGAATAACTTTCTCAGAGAAATCTTTCTTGGCTCCCCAGATTGGTCAAATACCTCTACTATACATTTTCAAAGTACCATGCACCTGTCAAAATCAGTTAACACAGTTTTAATTACACACTCATTTGCGTGATTTTTCATCGAGAAAGAAATGTCTGTCTTTCTCAATGGACTATAGCCTTAAGGAAGGCAAGGAAGAAACAGTCCCAGCACCTACCAAATGCTGTGGCAAATGATAGGGGATCAATAAATACTTATTTGCAGTGGTTCACCCCTGTAATCCCAGCACTTTCGGCAGATCATCTGAGGTCAGGAGTTCGAGACCACCCTGGCCAACGTGGTGAAACCCCATCTCTACTAAAAATACAAAAATTAGCTGGGCATGGTGGCACATGTCTGTAATCTCAGGTACTCGAGTGGCTCAGGCACAAGAATCACTTGAACCCAGGAGGCAAAGGTTGCACTAAGCTGAGATTGCGCCACCACTGCACTCCAGCCTGGACGACAGAGCAAGACTCTGTCTCAAAAAAAAAAAAAAAAAAAGTCTGGGTACAGTGGCTCACGCCTGTAATCCTACCACTTTGGGAGGCCAAGGCGGGCGGATCACCTAAGGTCAGGAGTTCGAGACCAGCCTGACAGACATGGAGAAACCCTGTCTCTACTAAAAATACAAAATTAGCCAGGCGTGGTGGTGCATGCCTGTAATCCCAGCTACTCAGGAGGCTGAGGCAGGAGAATCGCTTGAACCCGGGCGGTGGAGGTTGCGGTGAGCCAAGATCATGCCATTGCACTCTGGCCTGGGCAATAAGAGCAAAACTCCGTCTCAAAAAAAACAAAAACAAAACAAAACAAAAAATTATACAAACCTTGGAATAATTTAGTGTAGTGAATGTATACGTATTTTTCTCCTTTATTCAAAATTCCTACAAGTCTGCGCTCATTTTATAATTTAAAAATAATGCTCAGGCTGGGTGCAGTGTCTCACGCCTGTAATTCCAGCACTCTGGGTGGCCAAGGCAGGAGGACTGTTTGAGCTAGGGGGTTTGAGACCAGCCTGGGCAACACAGCAAGACCCCGTCCCTACAAAAAAAAATTAAAAATCAGTCAGGCATGGTGTTGCATACCTGTAGTCCCAGCTACTCAGGAGACTGAGGTGGGAGATAACTTGTGCCCGTGAGATCAAGGCTGCAGTCACTCCAGACTGAGTGACAGAGCAAGATCCTGTCTCAGAAAAAATAATAATAATAATCCTCAAAAAAATCTTGCAGTATTTTTAAGTTTTCTAACATACATTTTAGTTTTTAGCATATAAGTCTTATACATTTTATTAAATTTAATTTTTGTGGGTACATAGGTGCATATATTTATGGGATACATGAGATGCTTTGTTACAGGTACACAATATGTAATAGTCAGATCATACAAAATAAGGTATCCATCCCCTCAAGCATTTATCCTTGTGTTACAAACAATACAATTATACTATTTTAAAATGTACAATTACATTATTATTGACTATAAGTCATCCTATTGTGCTATCAAATACTGGGTCTTATTGATTCTATTTTTTTTTTTGGTACCCACTAACCATCCCCACCTCCCCACCATCCCCCACTACCCTTCCCAACCTCTAGTAACCATCCTTCTACTATCTCCATTAGCTCAACTGTTTTGATTTTTAGATCCCACAAATAAGTGAGAACATGCAATGTTTGTCTTTCTGTGCCTGGCTTATTTCACTTAACATAATGACCTCCAGTTTCACCCATGTTGTTACAAATGACAGGATCTCATTCATTTTTATGGCTGAATAGTACTCCATTATGTATAAGTACCATATTTTCTTTATCCATTCATCTGTTGATGGACACAGATTGATTCCATATCTTGGCTATTGTAAATAGTGCTACAACAAACCTGGGAGTGCAGATATCTCTTCAATATACTGATTTCCTTTCTTTTGGATACATACCCAGCAGTGGGACTGCTGGATCATACGATAGCTCTACTTTTAGTTGTTTTGTTTTCTTTTTTGGGATGGAGTCTCGCTCTGTCACCCAGGCGGGAGTGCAGTGGTGCCATCTCAGCTCACTGCAAGCTCCACCTCCCGGGTTCACACCATTCTCTTGCCTCAGCCTCCCGAGTAGCTGGGATACAGGCGCCCGCCACCACACCTGGCTAATTTTTTTACATTTTTAGGAGAGACGGGGTTTCACCGTGTTAGCCAGGATGGTCTCAATCTGACCTCATGATCCGCCGCCTCGGCCTCCCAAAGTGCTGGGATTACCGGCATAAGCCACCGCGCCCGGCATACTTTTAGTTTTTTGAGGAAACGCCAAACTGTTCTCCATAGTGCTGGTACTAGTTTACATTCCCACCAACAGTGTACAAGGGTTCCCTTTACCCCACATCCTTGCCAGCATTTCCTATTACGTGTTTTTGGATATAAGCCATTTTAACTGGGGTGAGATATTTCACTGTAGTTGTGACTTGCATTTCTCTGATGACCAATAATGTTGAACGCCTTTTCATATGCCTGTTTTCCACTTGCATGTCTTTTTTTTTTTTTTTTTTTGAGATGGAGTTTCATTCTTATTGCCCAGGCTGGAGTGCAATGGCACAATCTCGGCTCACTGCAAACTCTGCCTCCCAGGTTCAAGTGATTCTCCTGCCTCAGCCTCCTGAGTAGCTGGGATTACAGGCATGCACCACCACGCCCGGCTAATTTTGCATTTTCAGTAGAGATGGGGTTTCTCTATGTTGGTCAGGCTGGTCTCGAACTCCCGACCTCAGGTGATCCACCTGCCTCGGACTCCCAAAGTGCTGGGATTACAAGCCTGAGCTACCGTGCCCAGCCTGCATGTCTTCTTTGGAGTAATGTCTATTCAAATCTTTTGCCCATTTTTTAAATTGGATTATTAGATTTTTTTTCCTATAGAGTTGAGTTCCTTATACATTCCGGTTATTAATCCTTTGTCAGATGGGTAGTTTGCAAATATTTTCTCCTATCCTGTGGGTTGTCTCTTCACTTTATTGTTTCCTTTGCTGTGCAGAAGCTTTTTAACTTCATGTGATCCCATTTGTCCATTTTTGCTTTGGTTGCCTGTGGTTATGGGATATTACTCAAGAAGTTTTTGCCCAGACCAATGTCCTAGAGAGTTTCCCCAAAGTTTTCTTGTAGTAATTTCATAGTTTGAGGTCTTAGATTTAATACATTTAATACATTTTTATTTGATTTTTGTATATGGCAAGAGATGGAGGCCTAGTTTCATTCTTCTGCATATAGATATCCAGTTTTCTAAGCACTATCTATTGAAGAGACTGTCTTTTCCCCAGTGTATGTTCTTGGCAACTTTGTCGAAAATGAGTTCACTGCAGGTGTGTGGATAGACTTATACGTAAGTTGTTTTATGGGGTTTTGTTTTTTGAATAACTAGTGAAAGAAATCAAAGATCTAAATAAGTAGAGACATACCATGCCCACAGGTTGGAAGCTTCAACATAGTAAACATATCAATTCTCCCCAAACTGATCCTAGGTTGTTGTTTTTTTTCTTCAACCTTTGGGAGCACAGAACGTTATCTTAGGTTTAATGCAATTCCTATAAGAATCCCACTAAGACTTTTAGTAGACATAAACAAGCTTATTCTAAATGTATATAGAAAGGCATGGGCCCCAGAACAGTTTAAACAATCTTGACAAAGAATAAACTGAGGGCCAGGTGCAGTGGCTCACGCCTGTAATCCCAGCATTTTGGGAGGCTGAGGGGGGGCGGATCACAAGGTCAGGAGATCGAGACCATCCTGGCTAACACAGTGAAAACCCGGCTCTACTAAAAAAAAAAAAAAAATACAAAACATTAGTGGGGCGAGGTAGCAGGCGCCTGCAGTCCCAGCTACTTGGGAGGCTGAGGCAGGAGAATGGTGTGAACCCGGGAGGCGGAGCTTGCAGTGAGCTGAGATCACACCACTGCACTCCAGCCTGGGCGACAGAGCGAGACTCTGTTTCCCAAAAAAAAAAAAAAAAAAAAAATCAGCCAGACATGGTGGCACATACCTGTAATCCCAGCTACTTGGGAGGCTGAGGCACGAGAATCGCTTGAACCCAGAAGGGAGAGGTTGCAGTGAGCCGAGAGCGCACCACTGCATTCCAGCCTGAGCAACAGTAAGACTGTCTCAAAAAAAAAAAAACAAAAAAAAAAAAATTAGCTGGGCATAGTGGCGTGCACCTGTAGTCCCAGCTACTCAGAAGGCTGAGGAGAAGGGATCTCGAGCCCAGGAGTTCGAGGTTGTGGTGAGCTATGATTGCACCACTGCACTCCAGACTGGTGACAGTGAGACCTTTTCCCAAAAAAATAAAAATAAAAAATAAAACAATTAACCTCTGGTGATCCAAGTCAGAACATCGGTTACCTCTGGAGGGTACTGATTGGGAAAGACACAAGGGAGCCTTCTGAAAATGTTCCATACCTTGGTGGTACTTACACGGGTGTACACATTGAACTGTACAATTAAGACGGGTTCACTCTACTGTATATAAATGATATCTTAATAAAAAGTTTTTAAAAATAATAAATATGGCTGGGCACGGTGGCTCACGCCTGTAATCCCAGCACTTTGGGAGGCCGAGGCAGGTGGATCACGAGGTCAGGAAATCGAGACCATCCTGGCTAACACGGTGAAACCCCGTCTCTACTAAAAATACAAAGAATCAACCGGGCGTAGTGGCACGCGCCTGTAGTCCCAGCTTGAGAGGCTGAGGCAGGAGAATGGCATGAACCCAGGAGGCGGAGCTTGCAGTGAGCGGAGATCGTGCCACTGCACTCCAGCTCAGGACAGAACGAGACTCTGTCTCAAAAATAATAATAATAATAATAAATATTTGATGAGTGAATATTTCAATAAATCCTAAGAAACCAGAATATATCATTATGAGGAAACACAGGTTCAGAAAAGTAACTTGCCCAAACACAGTAGGCACTTGCACTTTTGTCTCCTGACATGAAAACTGGACTCCAATTTCCATGACTTATATCTCCTCTAACTAAAACTGCTGCTTGATACAGGATACGCACCTATAAATATTTGCTGAGTGAATAAAGAGCACAAAGTGTATATTTAAATTATTAAATGCTATATATGCATTTAACGCACAGGATAAAATTAAAGGTAAAAAAAATTAAAGTGCCACGAAGCACTTTATCAACTAATTACAATGAGCTTATTTCTATAATTTTAAAAAATAGGTAAATGCATACCCACACACACACACATATAAACACACACCCTTGATATTTTATATCCCAGTTTATACTCAGTCTCAATTTGAGACAGGTGTGTAACAACAGAATTCAAACATACTTTGAGTAGTAATTGTAATATAAAAGGATATGGCTGAAAAAAGTTGTATGGAGGATATAAAACTTAAGGTAGGCCGGGCGCGGTGGTTCACGCCTGTAATCCCAGCACTCTGGGAGGCCGAGGCAGGCAGATCACGAGGACAGGAGTTCAAGACCAGCCTGACCAACAGGGTGAAACCCCGTCTCTACTAAAAATACAAAAATTACCCGGGCATGGTGGTGCGCGCCTGTGATCCCAGCTACTCAGGAGGCTGAGGCAGGAGAATCACTTGAACCCGGGAAGCAGAGATTGCAGTGAGCCAAGACTGCGCCACTGCACTCCAGCTTGGGCGACAGAATGAGACTCTGTCTCAAAAACAAACAAACAAACAAACAAACAAAAAACTTAAGGTAATCCTTAAATCTAAGAGTATAGCATGAGTAGTACTTGGCAGCAGAGATGAGTATGGGGGAAGACTGGAGAAGCGTAATGCACTGGGAAAACCTCTCACACAGAGTAGTTTCCATCCTATTTAAATGTTTCCTGTACCGTGTGTGCACGTGTATTGTTACTGAGACAAGGCCTCACTCTGTGATGGAGTGCAGTGGCATGATAATAGCTCACTGCAGCCTCGACTTCCCAGGATCAGGCAATTCTCCCACCAGAGCCTCCTGGGCAGCTGGGACTACAGACATGTGCCAACAAGCCCAGCTAATTTTTTGTATTTTTTGTAGAGACTGGGTTTCACCACGTTATCCAAGCTGGTCTTGAGCTCCTGGGTGCAAGCAATTGCCCACCTCAGCCTCCCAAAGTGCTGGGATTACATGTACCATATACTTAAACCAATATGCTCAAATTTGATAGCAAACAAAGCTATACCACAAAATATGTCTAATTTCTAAAAGGCATGTAAATAAATAAAAACCCAGCATAGAACCACTGCAGGCTCAAGGTGGGTTTTCAAAGAATCACAGCAGATGATGGATCAATAAGAAGCATTAAGTACAGGCTCCCCACAGATACAAATTCCAAAATTTCCAGTGCTTCATGAGATTTAGCCACATTAAATTACTGTTTTCCACAGTAATTCTAAAAACGTAAATAAGAAAGGTCCCTGATCAGTTCATTTAAACAAGCAAGCCTGTATACAGTTCAACTACTATTTTTTTTTAAGTTACTACCCTTCAAAGATGAAGAACTCACTAAAATAATGGTCTATCTTCACTTATTGAACTAAAGCTAAAATGAATTACCACTAACTGCCAATGAAGGAGGAATCAAGTCTGGATGCCAACAGCAGCTTCTTAATGACAATTAAGGAACAAAATGTCTCCAGAAAGATGCAGAAGCAGGACAGGTGCCCCAGTAATGAGACTTATTTATTTCACAGGTAACATTTTGGGCAGTGTCCTTGAAAATCCTCAATTTCAGATATTATTTGCCATTTTATTTCAGCACATCCATCGTCTTGATCTATCTGAAGAAAAATCACTGACAAGGTAATTTAAAATCTTGACAGTCTGGGTACCAAACTTGTCAAAATTGCTTTGAAAGCTTGGGGGCACAGGGACCTTAAGAACAATCCTTTATAAATGATTGACTTTTACCCCTAAATAGGTACCTAGCACTTTCTTTATTTGGAGACAAGGTCTTGCTCTGTCACCCAGGCTGGAGTGCAGTAGGGCAATCAGCCTCGACCTGGTCCAAAGGTCAAGCAATCCTCCTACCTCAGTTTCCCGAGAAGCTGGGAACCACAGGCACGCGCCACCACGCCCAGCTAATTTTTTTTTTTTAATTTTGAGGGTTTTAAGAGACAGGGTCTCACTCTCTTGCCCATGCTGAAGGGCAGTGGCACGATCATAGCTCACCTGCAGCCTCCACTTCCTGGGCTCACGGGATCCTCCTGCCTCAGCCACCTGAGTAGCTGAGACTATAGGCAGGCGCCACCACACTCTAATAATTTTTTTTATTTTTTGTAGAGACAGGGTCTCCTATGTTGCCCAGGCGGGTCTTGATACTCCTGGACTCAAGTGATTTTTCTGCCTCGGCCTCTCAAAGTGCTGGGAGTATAGGAGTGAGCCACCAGGCCCGTCGACCAAGCGCTCTAATAACTAAATACAATGAACTTATTTCCGTAATTTTTGTAAAAAGGTAAATGCATACCTACACACGCATACATCCCTGATACTTCATTTTCCATTTTTTCAGTTTATATTCAGCCTCAGTTTAGGACAAGTGTGTAACAATACAATCCAAACACTTTAGTATCTAGTATCACAACAACTCTGCGTCGTAGGTATTCATATCACGATGTTCCACATGAGGAAACTTAACGCAAACAGCGGATAAGCTGGTAAAGGGCTGAGAGTTGAAGCTGAATGTATCTGATTCCAAAAACACACTTTCATTCGACTACAAGGCACTGCCTCCCTTGACAGGAAAACAATAAAGACAGAAGCATAAACTTTTCACTTTTTCCGGGTGTCATTTCTATATCTCGGTGCGATGTAGTGATTAAATGAAAGAACACTGGAGTCCAGCTGCTGGGATTCAAATCCAGCTCCACTACTGCCCGGGACTCGCGCCCCGTTAACTGAGCGGCAGGGCACCAGCCCGCCGGCTGTGGCGCTCGAGAAGCCTGCGGCGCTGCCTAAGCACCTGGAAACGCGCCGGCCCTGCGGGGGCGAAATCGTCTAGGACGATAGGGATCTCCAAGGAGTGCGCTGGGGGTTATTTTCGGGGCAAATAATTAGAGAAAACGAGGATCACACAACAAAACAGCAACCCGGCACGGGAAGGAGCGCGGGCCTGGCGCCCCGAGGCGTGAGGCGGCGCGGACCACGGCTGAGGGAGCTCGGCGCTCGCCCGACGCCCGGGAGGATGCAGGCCGCCCCCCAGGTGTGAAAGGGACCCGCCCGGCAACCGAAGGTGCAAAGCCCAACCTGGCGTTCCGAGGGGCCCTGCGTGGCGTCAGGGGAGACCCAACCCGCGTCCCGAACCCACCTCAACCTTGGGAAGGACCCAGCCCCGGCATCTGGAGAAGCCCAACCCGGCACCAGTAATGGCCGGTCCCGGCGTCCGGAATCCGCCCCGGAATCGGGAGGGTCCCAGCCCCGCATCCCGAGCCCACTTCGGCGTCCGGAGGGACCCACCCCCGACTTCGGCAAGGCCAGCCCCGGCGTCCGGAGCCCACCCCCGCGTCGCGAGAGACACACCCCGGCATCAGGAAGGGCCGCCCCGGCGTCGGGAGAGGCCTACCTTGGCGTCGGGAAGCGCCCCTCCCGGAGAGTAGCGGGCCGCGGACCCGCTGAGGAAGAAAAGGAGGCAGGGAGGGGTGGGCGGAGCTGTGCGCAGGCGGCGGGTACTCACTCGCTGGCGCAGGCCGCTCTGTAGACCTTCTCCGGGTTGCCGGGGGTCGCGAGCCGCCACACGTTGGGAGCGCGGGGGGAGGGGGAGGGGCGCGCGCGTCCGATGCCAGAGACACGCTCTCGGGGCGGGCGCAGGCGCAGCGCGCGGAGACTTAACCAACCCCCGCCGCGGGGGAGCCATCCGGGACGTACCAACTGCGCGGGAGGCGCTGACCGCCCGTGAGCCGGCTCGCACCTTGCGCGGTCTCAGTTGCTTGCGCTTTGGGGGAAAGCAAGGAGTAACAACAGACTCAGAGATAGCTGTGGGGCAAAATGTATAGAACGGCCACTTTTGAGGACAATTCCGTGTGATGAAATTTAAAATGTCCATTTTATGACCCAGCAATTTCACGTCTAGAAAAATACGGAAATGCCGGGTGCGATGGCTCACGCCTGTAATCCCAGCGCTTTGGGAGGCAGAGGCGGGCGGATTACCTGAGGTCGGGAGTTCGAGACCAGCCTGGTCAACATAGAGAAACCCCTTCTGTACTAAAATACAAAAATTAGCCAGGCGTGGTGGCGCGTGCGTGTAATAACAGCTACTCAGGAGCCTGAGGCAGGAGAATCGCTTGAATCCGGGAGGCGGAGGATGCAGTGAGCCCAGGTCACTGCCACTGCACTCCAGCCTGGGCAACAGAGCGAGACTCCGTCTCAAAAAAAAAAAAAAAAAAAAAGGGAAAGAAAGAAAAGAAAAATACAGACACTCCTACAGGTGTGCACAAGACATGTTCAAGGAGGCCAGCTTCCTGGCGGAAAATGTGAACAGCAGAAATGTCCAATAAGTCTCGCATAAATAAAACACCAAATGTCCCTACAGTGATATACTACAACAAATAAAACAAAGGAATCCTATATGTGTCAACATTTGCTAGGTCACAACTACTTAAGTTATTGAAATAGCGACATGCCAACAAATATGTACACTGTGAAATGATTTATATAAATTTAAAAATAGGTAAATTAGAACAGTATATACTGTTTACAGAAAATCTATGTGTGTAAAAGTATATAAGATGAACTAGATGGATACCATGGTAATGGTAAAGGGGTGAAAGAAGGAGTAGCGGAAAATGTGGGGAGAAGCAAACAGGACTTCAGATAGATCTGTCATGATTTCTATTAAAAAGAAAGACCTGGCCAGGCGTGGTGGATCACGCCTGTAATCCCAGCACTTTGGGGGGCCAAGGTAGGCAGATCACTTGAGGTCAGGAGTTAGAGACTAGCCTGACCAACATGGTGAAACCCCATCTCCACTAAAAATACAAAAATTAGCTTGGCGTGGTGGTACATGCCAGTAATCCCAGCTATTCGGGAGGCTGAGGCAGGAAAATCGCTTGAACCTGGGAGGCAGAGGTTGCAGTGAGCCGAGATCACACCACTGCACTCCAGCCTGGGTGACAGAGTGAGACTCTGTCTCAAAAAAAAAAAAAAGAGAGAGAGAGACCTAAAAATAAACGTAAGAAAATGTTAACAGTAGGGTAATCGAACGTGGAACTACAGGCACATTATTCTTAATACTTTTCTGTAACATTTACATTCTGGAATGCCTTTGCCCTATCTCCCCCATGCCACCTACCTCCAACTGATCCTCCAAAACCCACCTGAACCATTTCTTCCACTGCTTCCTTGAACCTCAGTTCATTTCTCCTGCATCCTTCCTCAGCTGCTGGGACATTCGATCTCCCACAGTATACTACAATTCTTTGCTCTATGAGTCTATATCTCTTCTATAAGACTTGTGAGCTCTATGAAGACATGATCCATGTAATCCTCACAAGTAGCAATGGGCCTGTCCTAAAGCAAACACTCAAAAAATGTTGATTGAATTGAATTGAGGAGTGGGGAGATCAGAAAAGGTTTCAGTGCAGGGCCAAAAAGATCCTTTTAGGGCATCTTACTTCAGGGAAGACTATTGATGCATTGGTGGTGGCAGCCATTCTGCAAACCTGAGGACAGACAGCCTATGGCAGGCAGCCTGTAAGATGGCCCTAGATCCCACAGGCTGGCAACCACACTCTTGTGTAATCTCTCTTCTTGTGTGTGGGCTATGCTTAATAACTCACTTCTAAACAATAGAATAAGGCAGAAATGATGGCATGTCATTTCCAAGAGTGGGTGATAAAAACTCTATGGCTTCCTTCTTGGGTACTATCTCAAGTTCTCAATTTGCTCACTCAGGCCAAATGCTATACTGTGAGAAATAGCCATATGGAAAGACTCACAGGGCAACAGCTTGATCACATCTTAGGAGAGACCTTAAGCCAAAGACCTGTCTAAGCTGTGTCCCAACTCGTGACCTATGAAAACTATGTTTATGGTTTTTTGGTGTTTTTTTTTTTTTAAAGGTCTCACTCTGTCACCCGTACTGGAGTGCAGTGGTGTCATCAGGGCTCACTGCAGCTTCAAACTCCTGAGCTCAAGCTATCCTCCCACCTTAGCTTCCCAAGTAGCTGGGACTACAGGTGCATGCCACTGTGGCTAGCTATTTTTTCGTTGTTTTTTTGTGGAGACGGAGTCTCATTATGTGCCCAGGCTGGTCTCAAACTCCTGGGCACAAGTGATCCTTCCGCCTCAGCCTCCCAAAGTGCTGGGATTACAGGCATAAGCCACTGCACCTGGCCTATGTTTTAAGCCGCTAAGTTTTGGGGTAATTTGTTATATAAAAACATATAATTATTTCAGAGCTTAGAAGAGAGGAAAAAAAAAACAGAAAATAGCAGAGTTAGGACCCTAATCATATATACCTGGCAACCGTTCAACTTCTGGGTTTTCTATGATGTGAAATAATAAGTTTCCTTAATATTTACACCATTATGAGTCATGTTTTTCTGTTACCTGAAGTAGACAACATCCTAATTGATATAAAACTAAATGTCCATCATAAGAGAATGATGTATTATATAGTATATTCATAGAATAACATACAACAATTAAGAAATGAAAAACTAAATAAAATAAATGAAACACACTTTGGGAGGCTGAGGTGGGTGGATCACTTGAGCCCAGGAGTTCAAGATCAGCCTGGGCAACACAGTGAGACTTTGTCTCTACTAAAAATAAAAACAGGCCTAGCACGGTGACTCACACCTATAATCCCAGCATTTTGGGAGGCCGAGGCGGGTGGATCACTTGAGGTCAGGAGTTCGAGACCAGTCTGGTCAACATGGCGAAACCCCGTCTCTACTAAAAATACAAAAATTAGCTGGGCGTGGTGGCACGCGCCAGTAAGTCCCAGCTACTCGAGAGGCTGAGGCAGGAGAATTGCTTGAACTCCAACCTGGGTGACAGAGTGAGACTCCGTCTCAAAAAATTAAATTAAATTTAAAAATAAAAAATTATACAGATGCCGTGTGGCCAGAAAAAAAAAATAAGCAAACAAGTAGCCGCATGTGGTGGTGTGTGTCTGTAGTCCCAGCTACTCGAGAGGCCGAGGCAGAAGGATCTGTTGAGCCCAGGAGTTCCAGGTTGCAGTGAGCTATGATCGCACCACTGCACTCTAAACTGAGTGACAGAGTGAGACCCTGTCTCAGAAAAAAGAAATGAAACAGATCTACATGTATCATCACGCATAGACCTCAATACATGATATTAATTTTAAGAACCAAGTGGCAGGATAATGTAAGGTCCATGAGAATAGAAACTTTATTTTGTGTATTGCTGTGTCGTCAAAATTAGAACAATGCCTAGCACAGAGTAAAGAAAGATGAATGATATGCTCATTGTGATGCCATTTACGTAAACACACATATTCTTATGCAAATAATACCACATGTTTTTGAAGGTAGTAAATATATCTAAAAGTATTCCCATAGGCCTAGGAAGATACAGGGATATATAATAAACACATAATAGAGGATACTTTTTTTTTTTGAGACAAAATCTCACTCTGTTGCCCAGGCTGGAGTGCAATGGCATGATCTGCCTCCTGGGTTCAAGCGATTCTCCTGCCTCAGCCTCCTGAGTAGCTGGGATTACAGGCGTGTGCCACTGCACCTGGCTAATTTTTTGTATTTTTAGTAGAGATTGGGTTTCACCATGTTGGCCAAGCTGGTCTTGAACTCCTGACCTCAGGTAAGCCGCCTGCCTCGGCCTCCCAAAGTGAGCAACCGGGTCCGGCCAGAGGATGCTTTTCAAAAGGGGGCTGGAGGTACAAAATTGGGAGTGGACAAAAGAAACCTTAATATATCTGTAATGCTCTGATTTTATTTTAAGAACCACTACTGGGCCAAGTGTGGTGACTTATGCCTGTTATCCCTGTACTTTGGGAGGCAAAGGTGGGGAGATCACTTGAGCTCAGGAGTTCGAGACCAGCCTGGGCAATATGGCAAAACCCCATCTCTACAAAAAATACAAAAATTAGCTGGACTTGGGCTTGCACCTGTAGTCCCAGCTACTCGGGAGGCTGAGGTGGGAGGATAGCTTGAGCCCGGGAGGCAGAGGTTGCAGTGAGCCACCAAGGTTGTTCCACTGCACTCCAGCCTGGGTGACAAAGCAAGACCCTGTCACAAAAAAAAAAAGAAGAAAAGAAAAAAAGAACCACTACTGTGTAATTAAAAATGAATAAACTATAAGCTGGGCACAGTGATACATACCAGTAGTCCCAGCTACTCAGGAGACTGAGGTGAGAGGATTACTTGAGCCCAGGAGTTCAAGGATGTAGTACACTATAATCATGCCTGTGAATAGCCACTATACTCCAGCCTGGGCAACATAGTGAGACTACATCTCTATAAAAACATTTAAAATTTAGCTGGCTATGGTGGTGTGCACCTATAATCCCAGCTACTCAGGAGGCTAAGATGGGAGGATCCCTTGACCCCAGGAGTTCCAGGCTGCAGTGAGCTATGATTGAGCCACTGTACTCCAGCCTAGGCAATAGAGTGAGACCTTGTCTTTAAAAAAGTAATAATAATAATAATAATAATAAACTCTTAGAAGAAAACATATGGGAAAATCTTCATGACCTTAGATTTGGCAATAATATATTGAATATGACATCAAAAGCACAGGCAACACGGTGAAAAGAGTTCTGGAGATGTGTTGCGGGAAGTCAGGGACCCCAAACGGAGGGACCGGCTGGAGCCGTGGCAGAGGAACATAAATTGTGAAGATTTAATTTTTTTTTTTTTTTGAGACGGAATCTCGCTCTGTTGCCCAGGCTGGAGTGCAGTGGCACAATCTCAGCTCACCGCAAGCTCTGCCTCCTGGGTTCACACCATTCTCCTTCCTCAGCCTCCCGAGTAGCTAGGATTACAGGCGCCCGCCACCACGCCCAGCTAATTTTTTGTATTTTTAGTAGAGATGGGATTTCACCGTGTTAGACAGGATAGTCTCGATCTCCTGACCTCATGATCCGCCCGTCTTGGCCTCCCAAAGTGCTGGGATTACTGGCGTGAGCCACCGCACCCTGCTAGGGAGATTTTCTACATCCTGGTGACTGGCATCCAAATCTGTTTTTCCTGTCCTGGTTCCTAGCATCGAATCTCAATTGCCTACTTGACTTTTCCACCTGTTATGTCCCACATAAAGTTAAAACCCAGAACATTCACAACCAAATTTATGATCTTCCCCTCAAAATCTGTATATTTAACACATTATTTGTCTCTCTTAGTGACATTACTATCCACTCTCCCTCAAGCTATAAGCCTCCTAGACCACCACCACAAAGCCCCTCTCCCCACAGATTCAATGGGTCATGGAGTCTTACTGACTTCGAAACTGACTTCAGGGCCAGGCGCAGTGTCTCACACCTGCAATCCCGGCACTTTGGGAGGCTGGGTGGATCACTTGAGGCCAGGGGTTCGTGACCAGCCTGGCCAACATGGAGAAATGTTGTCTCTACTAAAAATACGAAAACTAGCCAGGCGCGGTGGCAGGCACCTGTAATCCCAACTACTCGGGAGGCTGAGGCAAGAGAATCACTTGAACCCAGGAGGTGGAGGTTGCAATGAGCTGAGATCGCGCCACTGCACTCCAGCCTGGGTGACAGAGCTAGACCCTGTCTAAAAAAAAGAACCCAAAAACCACACAAAAAGAAACCACACTGAATCAATGAAAAAAATAAATTATTCCATAATGATATTCAAAAAAGTAAAAACTCATTTGTGCCCATTCAAAGTAGATGTTTAAACAAGCTCTTACCTTAAAAATCAGTAAGGCAGGAGGATTACTTATGGCCAGGAGTTCCAGACCAGCCTGGGCAACATTGTGAGACCCCCATCTCTACAAAAAATGAATAATAAAACTAGCCAGGCTTGGTAGTATGTGCCTATAGTCCTAGCTACTTTGGAGGCTCAGGCAGGAGGATTGCTTGAGCCATGGAGTTTAAGGCTGCAATGAGCTATGATCTTACTATTGCACTCTAGCCTGGGTGACAGACGGAGATCTTGTATCAAAAAAAAAAAAAGGGCCAGGCACAGTGGTTCATGCCTATAATCTTAGCACTTTGGGAGGCTGGGTGGATCAGCTGAGGTCAGGAGTTCGAGACCAGCCTGGCCCACATGGCTCTACTAAAAATACATAAATTAGCCGGGCTTGGTGGTGCACATCTGTAATCCCAGCTACTTGGAAGGCTGAGGCAGGAGAATCGCTTGAACTCAGGAGGCGGAGGTTGCAGTGAGCTGAGATCATGCCACAGCACTCTAGCCTGGACAACAGAGCAAGACTGCATCCAAACACACACACACACACACACACACACACACACACACACACAAAGATACTTTCTGATCATAAGAGAGGAAACTTATTTACATAATGGAAGGTTTAAACTACCATTACCCTAATCCGGTGGTCAATTTAGCTTCACTTGGCGAATTAATCAGATATGATGTTATTATGTTCTTCAGATGCTACACAACATGAATCATGCAACATCTCCAAAGACGTATTCTAGCCAAAATATTTGACTTAAATACACCAAGTGTTTAGATATAACTTCCAGTTAAAGGAAACACAGCCAATAGAGATACAAGCTAAAAACCACAAGGAAAAAAGCAACCAATGCTTCTCAAACTACAGCACTTACACTATGATTTATTACAGCCAAAGGATACAAAGCAAAATCAGCACCTGGGATGAAGTCCAAAGGAAACTGGGCACAAGTTTCAAGAGTACCTTCCCAGTGGAGTCACTTAATTCCTCCAGCATCTAATTGTGACAACATTTGTGAAGTGGTATCTACCAGGGAAACTTGCCTGAGCCTAGGAATCCAGGGTTTTATCAGGGGTCAGTTACACAGGCTGCCTAGCTTACCACTCTGCCTAGTGCAAACCAAAGTTTCACACTCCCAGAAGGAAAGTAGATGTTCAGCATAAACTATATTGTTTGCACAAACAGTTTAGACTCAGTGAGCCACTTTTTTTCTTTTCTTTTTTTTTTTTTTTTTTTTGAGACAGAGTTTCGCTCTTGTTGCCCAAGTTAGAGTGCAATCTCAGCTCACTGCAACCTCCACCTCCCCGGTTCAAGCGATTCTCCTGCCTCAGCCTCCCAAGTAGCTGGGATTACAGGCGTGCAACACCATGCCCGGCTGATTTTTTGTATTTTTAGTAGAGACAGGGTTTCACTATGTTGGCCTGGCTGGTCTCGAACTCCTGATCTCAGGCAATCCACCTACCTCGGCCTCCCAAAGTGCTAGGATTATAGGCATGAGCCACTGTGCCCAGCTGCAGTGAGCCACTTTTATATGGAATTTGGAAACACTTCTGAAATCCAAGTTCCCAGATGCCAGCCAAAAGCCAAACTTGAGAGCAGACCTTTCAAAGGTCTACTATAGCCTCAAACCTACTATGTTAATTCTTTTCTGCACAATATGTAATGCTGTGGTTGAAACTTGGGGTGGAAGTTGAATGAGTTTGTCAAATGGACAACAGGAGATGGTAGAAGGACATTAAAGGTAATATTGGAAGGCTGAGGCAGGAGAATCGCTTGAACCTGGGAGGGCAGAGGTTGCAGTGAGGTGAAATCACAGTACTTCACTCCAGCCTGGGTGAAAGAGCGTTAACTCCATCTCAATAAATAAATAAATAAATAAAGGCAATGGGAATAGAATGAATAAAGGCAAAGGGGTGTGAAAGGATTCCCCAGTTGGAGAACCTACCACAGTGCTAAAGTTCATCCAGCAGGGCTTGGTACTTGAGAGAGTATTGGAAGTGGGTGGAAAAGGAAGTAGAATATACTGGGTCTCTTATACCACGTGACATTTTAACTTTATCCGGTAAGCAACAAGAAGCCATTGAAGTACTGCAGGTAAGAAAGGAGTATAGACCAGGCACGGTGGCTCATGCCTGTAATCCCAGCACTTTGGGAGGCCAAGGAGAACAGATCACCTGAGGTCAGGAGTTTGAGACCGGCCTGACAAACATGGTGAAACCTCATCTCTACTAAAAATACATCAGTATGTTAAATTATCAGAAAAATATAGCTTTTGGAATAAACTACATAGCTACCATTTACTATGTGCCAAGCAATGTGCTAAGTAGTTTACGGAGATTATATTAGTTAATCTTCACAACAACCATTTGAGGTGGGTATCATCTCCTCATTTTACAGATGGAGAAGCAGCCTCACAAATGTTAAGGAATTTACCTAAGATCACATAACTCATGCATGCAGAATGGAGCAATACATGTCAAGCTAAGTACCACACAGCGTTAACTGCTCAATTCTCAGAGATTTGTGGTTAATCCCCAGCCTGCTTGCCTCAGACATTGTCAGGGTTCAAGATATGACGGCTATCTGTTGCAGCTGGACTCTCTTCCTGATATGGCTCTGGACATACATCCCTCCAGCTCCAAGGGTGGCCCAGCGGGGCATGTAGAGTGGCTGGAATTCCCAAACTGTCACTGCAGTGATGAGGAGGAGCAACCTTATCTGTTTACTCTAACATGCTATACAGATATGCTCATTTTCTATGTGGACTATAATGGAGAAAAGGCTGGAAAGCATTACTTGACTCTAACCCAAAATCCTCTGTAAATCCCAGTCTGTGATCAACAGACTCCCCTCTGCCCTCAATCTGTCCTTAGAAAGTCTCTAAATTAAAACCTGGCATCCCCTGAAGACACTGCTTCCCTGCGTCCCTAAAGATACCATAAAATTAGGCCAGGCATGGTGGCTCACACTTGTAATCCCAGCACTTTGGGAGGCTGAGACAGGCAGATCACTTGAGGTCAAGAGTTCGAGACCAGTTTGGCCAACATGGTGAAACCCTGTCTCTACCTAAAATTAAAAAATTAGCCAGACGTGGTGGCGCACATCTGTAATCCCAGCTACTCAGGCAGCTGAGACAGAATCACTTGAACCCGGGAGGCTGAGGGTGCAGTGAGCCGAGACCACGCTACCACATTCCAGTCTGGGCAACAGAAGAAGACTCCATCTCAAAAAAGAAAAAAAGAGGCAGGACGCGGTGGCTCATGCCCATA
Organism: Homo sapiens; assembly: GCF_000001405.40. Classification (NCBI taxonomy): domain Eukaryota; kingdom Metazoa; phylum Chordata; class Mammalia; order Primates; family Hominidae; genus Homo; species Homo sapiens. Next base: position 177,016,110 of record NC_000005.10, read on the forward strand.
ATCCCACCACTTTGGGAGGCCAAGGTGGGGGGATCACCTGAGGACAGGAGTTTAAGACCAGCCTGACCAACATGGTGAAACCCCGTCTCTACTAAAAATACAAAATTAGCCAGGCATGGTGGCTGGTGCCTGTAATCCCAGCTACTCAGGAGGTTGAGGCAGGAGAATCGCTTGAACCTGGGAGGCAGAGGTTGCAGTGAGCCGAGATCATGTAATTGCCCTCCAACCTGGATGACAGAGCAAGACTCCATCTCAAAAACAAAACAAAACCAAACAAACAAAATACTATAAAATTATCCAGGCTGGGCACGGTGGCTCATGCCTGTAATTCCAGAACTTTGGGAGGCCGAGGCGGGCGGATCACGAGGTCAAAAGATCGAGACCATCCTGGCCAACATGGTGAAACGCCCCTCTACTAAAAATACAAAAAAATTAGCTGGGTGTGGTGGCACGCACCTCTAGTCCCAGCTACTCAGAAGGCTGAGGCAGGAGAATCGCTTGAACCTGGGAGGCAGAGGTTGCAGTCAGCCGAGGTTGCAGTGAGCCGAGATCTTACCACTGCACTCATGCCACTGCACTCCAGCCTGGCAACAGAGTGAGACTCCGTCTCAAAAAAGAAAATTATCCAGTAGGCCGGGCGCGGCGGCTCATGCCTGTAATCCCAGAACTTTGGGAGGCCGAGGCAGGTGAATCACCTGAGGTCAGGAGTTCAAGACCACCCTGGCCAACATGGTAAAACCCCGTCTCTACTAAAATTACAAAAAATAGCCAGGCATGGTGGCGGGTGCCTCTAGTCCCAGCTACTCAGGAGGCTGAGGCAGGAGAATCACTTGAACCCAGGAGGCAGAGGTTGCAGTGAGCTGAGATTGCGCCATTGCACTCCAGCCTGGGTGACAAGTGTGAACCTCTGTCAAAATAATGAAATGAAATATGAAATGAAATGAAAAATGAAATGAAATAAAGAAGCCTGAGAAGTGGACTAGGATTGCAGCAAAGATGTGCCCCTGGGCCCCTGCTGGGCTTGGTAGTTCCACAGTTCTCCTCAAGAGCACCCCTTCTGTTCTGGACCAATCTCAGATTCTGATTCAAACAACACTTCTTTACATCCTGTTAGTAAAAGCTAATCTGTGGCCACCTCTAATAGTTTGAGATGTGTTCTTAGAGATGAGAAATAAAAAGACTATTAGGAGGTAACTCAGATACCATTCTGATCCCCACATGGTAGATTCATTGTCCCACCCCATCCACACTAGCCCACTAGCCTTGGCTGTCATCTCCCTCTTTTTTATTTTTTTGAGATGGAGTCTTGCTCTTCTTGCCCAGGCTGGAGTACAGTGGCGCAATCTCGGTTCACTGCAACCTCCGTCTCCTGGGTTCAAGCAATTCTCCTGCCTCTGCCTCCTGAGTAGCTGGGATTACAGGCTTCTGCCACCATGCCTAGCTAATTTTTGTATTTTTTAGTAGAGACGAGGTTTCACCATTTGAACTCCTGTCCGCAGGTGATCCGCCCACTTGGCCTCCCAAAGTGCTATGATTACAGGCCTGAGCCACCACGCTGGCCCTTTTTTTTTTTTTTTTGAGACAGGGTCTTGCTGTGTCACCCAGGTGGTAGTGCAGTGGTACAACAGCTCACTGCAGGCTCAAGTGATCCTCTCACCTCAGCCTCCTGAGTAGCTGGGACCAAAGGCACACACCACCACACCCAGCTAATTTTTTTAATTTTGTAGAGATAGGGTCTTGCCATGTTGCCCATGATGGTCTTGAACTCCTGGGGTCAAGCAATCCTCCCGCCTCAGCCTTCCAAAGTGCTGGGATTACAGGTATGAGCCACTGTGCCCAGCCTAGTCATTATCTCTGTTATAGCAGTTAAAACATACTCTCTGATATTACATACTCAGTAGATACTTTTATGTCTGTCACTAGATTAGACATACTAGAGTTAGAAAAACTAGAGTTTAAGGCTGGGCGTGGTGGCTCACACTGGTAATCCCAGCACTTTGGGAGGCCAAGGTGGTCAGACCACATGAGATCAGGAGTTCAAGATCAGCCTGGCCAACATGGTAAAATCCTGTCTCTAATAAAAATACAAAAATTAGCTTGGTGTGGTGGTGCACACCTGTAGTCCTAGCTACTTAGGAGGCTGAGGCGGAGAATTGTTTGAACCTGGGAGGCGGAGGTTGCAGTGAGCCGAGATCGCACCACTGCACTCCAGCCTGGGTGACAGAGTGAGACTCTGTCTCAAAAAAAAAAGAAAAGAAAGAAAAACTAGAGTTGAATCTCTTTGAGAGCAAGAACTATATCTTAAGCACTATAGTTTCGTTTGCACATGCACACACATGCACATACAGAGTCAGTATTTAAGCAACTGAAATGTATGCTGAACAGTAGCCAGTTCCCGTCCCTTAGCAAAGTCATTTCCCTGGGATTGTTCATCTCCCATGGCAACAATACACAGTAGGATGTGTTGGAAAATGGTTCTCATTTTCCACAAGGAGGAAATAAAAAGCCAGCCCAACAAATATAAGGCATCACCTGCACTGCCAGGTCCCAGCAAGGAGTCCAGGCCTGGGCCATTCCTGGAAGCACTTACACAAAGACAAAATAGAAAACTGGTGACAATGAAGGCTGTTCAGACCCTCAGCAGGGTAGCTCAGGACTCTGCCTCCATGGCACAGGGGATGAACCCTGACAGCACTCATTGGAGAATAAATGGACATTATTTTGAGCATGTAATTGGATTGGAGGTTGTTTTCCAATAATATGCAAAGCAACTTATATACTCCACTCCCAGTATTTGTTACATAGTATTAAAAATATCCTTGTGGGTTCTGCGACTTCGACAAAAATCCCCTGTATCCCTTGGATTATCCCTGAATAACTTATGCTATATGCAAGTGTAAGTAACTAGAACTCTTAAGATAAATAAGTAGTTTGTGACCATCCTGGCTAACATAGTGAGACCCCGTCTCTAAAAGTAAATAAATAAATAAAAAGAGAATAAATAATGTGCAGTCACTGACTTTTAGGCTGGTCATCTGGTTTTGGCAAAAGGACATAGATTTGCAATCTAAGGACCAGTGTTCAAGCATGGGCTCGTACCTAACTAGCTGTGTGATCTTCACAAAACCTTTACCTTTCCTAGTCTGTTTCTTTATCATCACTTATGAAGAAATCCCTCACAGAAACCACCCTGAGGATTAAATGCTATAATGTAGGTGCTTTGCAAACTGTAAAGCACTGCCCTGGGCTGGGTGTGTGGTTCACACCAGGAATCCCAGCACTTTGGGAGGCTGAGGCAGGAGGATCGCTTGAGCTCAGGAGTTTGAGACCAGCCTGGGCAATATAGGGAAACCCTGTCTCTACAAAAAAAAAATTTTTTTTAATTAGCTGGGCATGTTGGTGTCCACTTGTAGTCCTTGCTACTCAGGAGGCTGAGGCTGGAGGATCACTTGAGTGTGGGAGTTCAAGGTTACAGTGAGCTATGATCATACCACTGCACTAGTGAGACCCTGTCTCGGAAAAAAAAAAAAAAAAATTGTAGGCTGGGTGTGGTAGCTCATGCCTGTAATCCCAGCACTTTAGGAGGCCAAGGCGGGCAGATCACCTGAGGCCAGGAGTTCAAGACCAGCCTGGCCAACAAGATGAAACCCCGTCTCTACTAAAAATAGAAAACATAGCTGGGTATAGTGATGGATGTCTGTAATCCCAGCTACTCGGGAGGCTGAGGCAGGAGAATTGCTTGAACCCAGGAGGTGGAGGTTGCAGTGAACTGAGATGGTGCCACTGCACTCCAGCCTGGGCAACAGAGACTCCGTCTATAAAAAAAAAAAAATTGTAAAACACTGGCCAAACATCAGTCACCTACTGTATTGGAAGCTTGGAAGCTCTAGGGCCTGAGGCCTGACATAGTGCTGGTGCTCAATATTTGTAGTATAAATAAGGAAATACTTGTAGTATAAATGACTAAATTACACCAATGAGCTATATGATCTCAAGCAAGAATAATTCATATCTGTCTCTCTTTGGCCTCCTCTGATATTACTTTCCTCCTTGTTCACTGGGCTCCAGCCATGCTGTCGTTTTTCCTGTTCCTCCAACACATCATGCTCTCTCCTGCCTCAGGGCCTTTGTACCTGCTGTTCTCTCTGCTAGAACACTCTTGCCCAGCTCTTTGCATGGCTACGCCTTCTCATTAATCAGGTCTTAGCTCAAATGTCATTTTCCCAGAGGCTTCTCCTGATGCCACCCTGATTAATGTTCCTAACACATCATTCACCTGAGATGCAATCCTGTTTTATCTTCTCCTTAGCACTTATTATTGTTAACTTTTTTTGTTTTTGAGATGGAGTCTCGCTCTGTTGCCCAGGATGGAGTGCAGTGGCACGATCTCGGCTCACTGCAAGCTCCGCCTGCTGGGTTCACACCATTCTCCTGCCTCAGCCTCCCGAGTAGCTGGGACTACAGGCGCCCGCCACCACGCCCGGCTAATTTTTTTGTATTTTTAGTAGAAACGGAGTTTCACCATGTTAGCCAGGATGGTCTTGATCTTCTGACCTCGTGATCCACCTGCCTCGGCCTCCCAAAGTGCTGGATTACAGGCATGAGCCACTGCGCCAGGCCTACTGTTAACTTTCTTATTGTACTCTCCTCCACTACAATAAAAAATACTTTACTACAGCTTCCCTGTCTTGTTCACCACTATATTTCCATGCTCAAAATATCATCTAGCTCATAGTAAATTCTCCATAAGTATTTGAAAAAATGAGGTTGAAATAAGCTAGTAATATTAAAAGCTTCATTCATTAAACAAATGTTTTGTATATACCTAGGAGGGTCCAGGTTCTATTTCAAAGTGCTGGAGATTCAGGTGCAATGACAAGAGACAAAAGGCTACGCAAGGTGGCATGTGCCTGTAATCTCAGCATTTTGGGAGCCCGAGGCAGGCAGATTATGAGATCAGGAGTTTGAGATCAGCCTAGCTAACATAGTGAAACCCCGTCTCTACCAAAAATATAAAAATTAGCTGGGTGCCGTGGCATGTGCCTGTAATCCCAGCTACTCAGGAGGCTGAGGCTGGAGAATTGCTTGAACCCGGGAGACGGAAGCTGCAGTGAGCCGAGATCGCGTCACTGCACTCCAACCTGGCGACAGAGCAAAACTCTGCCTCAAAAACAATTTAAAAAAAGAAAGAAAAGAAAAGAGACAAAAATCCCTGCCTTCCTGGGGCTTGCCTTCTAGTCGGGAGACAGACAATAAGCAAGATAAAAGGTAAAATATAAAAGAAATAAAGCAGGAAAGAAGGACATGAAGTGTGTGTGGAAAAGTAACATTTTAGATGGGATAGCCAGACAAGGTATTTTAGATAGAGTAGCCAGAGAAGGAAGTGGGAGACTGAGCCATGAAGATATATGAGAGAAATTCACCCCAGGAGGCCTGGATAACTGGGACAGGAATTAAGGAGTTGGGGACTGAGTAACACATCAGGATCAGGGAGGTTAAGGGAAGTCAGATTGTACAGGGCCTTGTTGGTCGAAGTAAGGACTTTGGCTTTTTTTTTTTTTAGTCGGAGTTTCGCTCTTGTTGCCCAGGCTGGGGTGCAATGGCGCCAGCTCGGCTCACAGCAACCTCTGCCTCCCGGGTTCAAGCCATTCTCCTGGCTCAGCCTCCGAGTAGATGGGATTACAGGCATGTGCCACCACACCCGTCTAATTTTGTATTTTTAGTAGAGACGGGGTTTCTCCATGTTGGTCAGGCTGGTCTCGAACTCCGGACCTCAGGTGATCCGCCCCCCCTTAGCCTCCCAAAGTGCTGGGATTACAGGCGTGAGCCACCGCGCCTGGCCGGACTTTGGCTTTTACTAAGAGTGAGATGGGAAGCTGTTGGAGGATTTGAGAACCTAAGCGTCATGATCTGACTTGTCATAAGAGGATTCCTGGAACTGCTGTGCTGGGAATGCCAGTGAGGTTGCTACTACAATAACCTAGGCAAGAGATGGTGGCTCCCAAAGACACGGGAAGGAGCAGCTCTGGGGTTGGAAGATAAAATTTGGGGTCTGACAGCTACATTGGAGAAGCCTATTAGCCATTCGAGTGAACTGTGGAAGAGGCAACTGGATGTATACAGGTCCGGAGTCTCGGGGAAGATCAGAGCTGGGAGCTGGCACTTGGAACTCAACAAATAGTATGTATTATTAGCAGTAATATGGAACCTTAGCTGTACTACTACTTACTAGTAGCGAGCTCTTGAGTTAACCATTTTTAGGTTCTGGGCCTCAGTTTCCCTGTGAATGAAATGGCGAAAACACTCCCACATAACGGGACCTTGAGAACGAAATGAAAAGTATCAAGGGCTGACCGTGAGCAAGGTGAGAGCCATGAGCCAAAACCACACGAGCCTCTCCGGGAGGGGGGGGTCACTGCTGCGGAATCAGCGACAGGTTTCCGAATCCACGGCACACGCTCTGAGGTACCAGAGGTAGCAAAGCAAAATAAGCGCGGGGTCCCGCACGGCAGCGCGGGTGCAGCGCCCAAACCTCGCGAGATTTGTTGGCTGGGCCAAGTACCACCCACCAAATCTCGCGATACCTAGGCGCCTGAGAGGCTCTCTACCGGTGAGGGTTTGCGGGGAAGATGGAGTATCCCGCGCCGGCCACGGTGCAGGCCGCGGACGGCGGAGCGGCCGGGCCTTACAGCAGCTCGGAGTTGCTGGAGGGCCAGGAGCCGGACGGGGTGCGCTTTGACCGCGAGAGGGCGCGCCGCCTGTGGGAAGCCGTGTCCGGTGCCCAGCCGGTGGGTAGAGAGGAAGGTGAGTCGGGGGCTTTGGAGGCAGAAAGCCCCTCGCCCGCTGCGCGGCTCGCGGGGAACTGCGGAAGCGCCGACGGTCACACCCCCTGGCCCGCCTCCTTGCGTGCTGCGCCCCGGGACCCCCAGACTTGTGCTCCCCATCCGGGCGCGGGCACCCCAAGAATCGGGCCCCCAGCGCGCTGAGGGTGAAGGGCCGCTCACGCTCAGGCCCTGGGTTTTCCTCCTCCTCCTTCATCATTCACTACAGCGCAGTTTTTCCCACATTCGAGGACTGTCATCCCTATACTCGTCCTGTCGGAGACCTACAGTCTTTGCCATCCCGGTAAGCCAAGCCGAGTGCCCCTCACCACTCCTTGACTCCCCATCGTCCCAATCTCCAGATTTCCTCCTAGGGCCTCTCGCCTCCCTTCTCTCAAGCCCCACACTTCCGAGGGCTCTGGAAGGCCTTCTCCTTACCCCCTGGGTTCCTCCTGGTCTTGATGACTGAGCCCTGGCTTACCCGTTTTTAGCTCTCTGGCCTCTACTTGCTGGGTCCCTTATTCTAAGGTGGGGACAAGGAGCCTGAGAAACTGGTCTGGGTTTGCTTTGGCTCCAGCTTCTTTGTGTCCTACACTTGACCCAAAGTTGCTGAGAACAGTGTATGCAAAGCCACGTTAGGGGTCACTCCTGGGCCGAAGCGCCCCAGCTTGCTCTGCACTTGACCTGAGACTGGGTAAGATGGGATGAAAGAAAGAGAAGGATGGAAAAGAGCTGTCCTGACCTGCTTGTGTGACTCCCTTCACTGTCCTTTACAGAGCCAGCTGCTTGATGCTAACCCAGATGTACAAGAACTCTATCTGGGCTTCTCTGCTAACCTTGTCAGGTATCTGGAGGGAAATCAGATTTCTCCAGTGATTTGTTTGCTTGCTGAGCAGACTTGTCTTCGAAAGTTTAATATGCTATTTGTGAACTGACTGCCCTGGATAAAATTGGATAAAATTGAAATTTTGACCATATCTAAGGAAGGTACACAGACCTATACCCTGGTATATACTTCTCCAATTTAAAAACAAGTCTAGCCTGTCTCCTAAGTTTATATATATATATAATGTATATTATATATAAAAAAGAAGGAGACAGGGCCCCAGAAATGGTGTGTGTGTATGCGTATATATAATATACACACACATAAATGTATATATATAATATATACACACATAAATCTGTATATATATTTTTATATACACTTGTAAGTATTTTATGTATACACACACACACACACACACACTATTTCTGGGGCCCTCTCTCCTTTTTTTTTTTTTTTTTTTTGAGAGAGTCTCACTCTGTCACCCAGGTTGGAGTGCAGTGGCACAATCACACTGCAACCTCCGCCTCCTGGGTTCAAGCAATTCTATACTGCCTCAGCCTCCGGAGTAGCTGGGATTACAGGCTGCTGCCATGACGCTCAGCTGATTTTTGTATTTTTAGTAGAGATGGGGTTTCACCATGTTGGCCAGGCTGTTCTCGAACTCCTGACCTCAAGTGATCTGCCCGCCTTGACCTCCCAAAGTGCTGGGATTACAGGCATGAGCCACCGCACCCGGCTCTCCTACTTTCACACTTGTTTGGTAGTTTCCTCCCCTACCCCAATTTTCCTTTCATTAACTTGACAAACACTCACTGATGCCTGCTCTGGACCCGGAACTGGTTGAGCTTCAGAGCTGGAGTATCAGAGGAAGATACTGCCCTTGCCCTGGAAAGGCTTGCAGTCTAGTCCAGGAAGCAGACACCAAAACAGTTCCAGTGTAATGTAAAGGATGCAGTGCTGAGGAATGTTTTAAGAGTTGGAGGTGCACAAGAAGAAAGTGACCTTTGCCCTGGATCTTGAAGCAGAAAACCACTGTGCTCTGAAAAGTGAACTGTCTGCTATGTGTATATGAGTGTATAGTGGCACTGTTATGACCCATTTCATTTCCCTGTTCTCACTTCTCCCACATTTATGTGAAATCTAGGTAGACACCTACAACATTAAGTTCTACTCACCCTTTTTCTACTCTTAGCACCTTCATGTGAGTTACAATTTATATACCATACAAGTCACCCATTGTAAGCATATCGCCAGTGATTGTTAGCCAGTGTACAGAGTTGTATAGCCATTACCACAGTCCACTTTTAGAACATTTCCGTCACCCCAATTAGTTCCTTTGAGCTCATTTATATTAAATCCCCACTCCCACCTCCTGCCCTAGGCAACCAGTGACCTGTTTTCTGTCTTGGGTAGTCTTTTGAGTTTGGCTTCTCTCAGCATGTTTTTGAAGTTCAGCCAAGTCATGGTGTGTATTAGTACTTCATTCCTTTTTATTGCTAAATAGAATTCCATTGAATGAATATAACACATTCTATTAATCCATTCATTAGTTCTAGACATTTGGATTGTTTCCAGTTTGGAGTTTTTGTGAATAGTGCTGCTGCGAACATTCATGCCCAAGTTTTTGTGTGAACATACATTTCATTTCTTGAGTATATCCCTAAGAGTGGAATTGCTGGGTCATATCGTAACTCTGACATTTTGGAGAACTGCCAAACTGTTTTCCAAAATGGCTTCACCTTTTATATTTCTGCCATCAGTGTATGAGGGTTTCGCTTTTTCTATAACCTTGACAACACTTGTCTTTTTTGATTATAGGCATTCTAGTGGGCATGTAGTGATATCTCATTGTGGTTTCCTAAAGACTGATAATACTGAGCAACTTTTCAGGGGCTGACTACCCATTTGTAGATCTTTGGTGAAATATCTATTCACATCATTTGCCTATTTTGTAATTGGGCTGTTTGTCTTCTACTGAGTTGTAAGAGTTATCTGTGTATTCTGGGTACAAGTCTTTTATTATAGATATGATTTCCAGGTATTTCCCCCTGACTGTGACTTGTTTTTTCATTTTCTAAACAGTGCCTTTTGAAGCACAAAAGTTTTAAGTTTTGATGAGATTAAATTTATCATTTTTTATCCTATGTATTGTGCTTTAGTGTCATATCTAAGAACTCTTTATCTTAACCCAAGATTTGAGAAATTTTCTCTTGTAGATCTTCCTTATTATTATTATTATTTTTTTTTTTGAGATGCAGTCTCACCCTGTCACCCAGGCTGGAGTGCAGTGGCATGATCTCAGCTCACTGCAACCTTCGTCTCCCTGGTTCTCCTGGAGGAGGTCAAGCGATTCTCCTGCCTCAGCGTCCCGAGTAGCTGGGATTACAGGTGTTCACCACCACATCTGGCTAATTTTTGTATTTTTAGTAGAGATGGGGTTTCACCACGTTGGCCAGGCTGGTCTCAAACTCCTGACCTCAAGTGATCTGCCCCCTTCAGCCTCCCAAAGTGCTGGCATTACACGCGTGAGCTACCATGCCCAGCCCCTTCCTCATCTTGTTTCTGAAGGAGTTTGTGAAGGATGGATTGGTAATTTTTTTTTTTTTTTTTTTTTTTTTGAGACAGAATCCCACTCTATCGCCCAGGCTAGAGTGTGGTGGCACGATCTCAGCTCACTGCAGCCTCCCTGTCCCAGATTTAAGTGATTCTCCCGCCTCAGCCTCCTGAGTAGCTGGGATTACAGGAGGGTGCTACCACACCCAGCTAATTTTTTTGTATTTTTAGTAGAGACAGAGTTTCACCATGTTGGCCAGACTGGTCTTGAACTCCTGACCTCAGGTGATCCACCAGCCTTGGCCTCCCGAAGTGTTGGGATTACAGGTGTGAGCCACCACACTCAGTTGGTAATATTTCTTTTTACAGTATTTTATAGAAGTGTTGACCTGCAAGGAAGAGGCTAACACACAAAATATGATTTGAAGAGTTTACTTGATTTTTAAAGGCAAAAAAATGTGGACAGGGAGTGGGACTCATACAAAGTTGTTTATCAAGAATTCTCATTGATTTACAGAAATAACATTGGTTAGTGATTGGCTGTACATTAAGCTGTAGGATGTAGGATATAGCGTCAGGTAGGGCATTATTAGGTTAATCCTTACCCACTTGTGGCAATAGCAAGCAGTTTTGATAGATGAATCTTAGCTCAAAAAGGGAGAATAGGAAGTGATTGCTATCTCATTTTAATATCTCTCTGGGCCCTGATCATTTAAAAAAACTTGGATTCTTTAGATAAAAGTTATCTTCTTTTTTTTCAGACAGAGACTCACTCTTCCGCCCAGACTGGAGTGCAGTGGTGTGATCTCGGCTCACTGCAACCTTTGCCTCCCGGGTTCAAGCGATTCTCGTGCCTCAGCCTCTCAGGTAGCTGGGATTACAGGCGCCTGCCAGCACACCCAGCTAATTTTTGTATTTTTCGTAGAGACGGAGTTTCACCATGTTGGTCAGGCTGGTCTCAAACTCCTGACCTCAGGTGATCCGCCTCAGCCTCCCAAAGTGCTGGGATTACAGGGGTGAGCCATCACGCCCAGCCGATAAAAGTTATTTTCTGACCTGCCTGGGCAACGTGGAGAAACCCTGTAAATTTTTGTAAAATTTGTGTTTTTGTAAAAATACAAACATTAGCCAGGTGTGGTGGCTCACATCTGTAATCCCAGCTACTCAGGTGGCTGAGGCACGAGAATCGCTTGAACCCAGGAGGCTAAGGTTGCAGTGAGCCGAGATTGTGCCACTGCACTCCAGTCTAGGCAACACAGTTGAGACTTTGTCTCAAAAAAAAAAAAAAAAAAAAGTTATCACCAGTGAAGCTACCTGGGCCTAAGCTTTTCTTTCTTCCTTTCCTTTTTTTTTTTTTAAATTCTCTATTTATTTATTTAGAGACAGGGTCTCTGTTGCCCAGGCTAGAGTGCAGTGGCACAATCATAGCTCACTGCAGCCTCAGACTCCTTCAAACTCAAAGCTAGGACTGCAAGGGCATACCACCATGCCCAGCTAATTTTTGTGTTTTTTTAAATAGAGGGTCTTGCTCTGTTGCCCAGGCTGGTCTGAAACTCCTGGCCTCTAGTGATCCTCCTGCCTCAGCCTCCCAAAGGGTTAGGATTATAGGCAAGCATGCGCCATGGCACCCAGCTGGCTTCGGCTTTTCTTTGTGGAAAGGTATTTGATTATTCATTTTCTTTACTTGTTTTAAGTGTACACAGAATATTTTGTTTCTCCTTGTGTCACTTTTTTTTTTTTTTTTTTTTTTTTTTTTTTTTGAGACGGGGTCTTGCCAGGCTGGAGTGCAGTAATGATCACTGCAGCCTTCGCCTCCCAGGTTCAAGCAATTCTCCTGCCCCAGCCTCCCGAGTAGCTGGGATTACAGGCATGTGTCACCATGCCCGGCTAACTTTTTTGTATTTTTAGTAGAGACGGGGTTTCACTGTGTTGGCCAGGCTGGTCTTGAACTCCTCGAACTCTAAAGTGATCTGTCCGCCTCTGCTTTCCCAAAGCACTGGGATTACAGATGTGAGGTCCCTGATTATTTTCTTGGTTAGTCTAGCTAAGAATTTGTCATTTTCTTGATCTTTTCTAGTTTCTAAGGTAAGATCTTATGTTGCTGATTTGAGTGATTTGAGATCCTTCTTTTCTGATGTAGATGTTTAAAATTATAAATTTCTCTCTTAAGCACTTGTGACGTTTTATATATATATATATATATATATATTTCCCTCCATAGTTCCTGGCTCACAGCTTCTATAACCCTTGTACTTTCCTCAGTGACTAAAGCAGTAAGAGTATCTTCTGTTAAAATATTTGGCCTTTTGTCCTTGCTTCCTGAAACACCTCTGGAACTGCTCCAGAGCAAGAAAGGTGAAAAACAGACTTTTGTTATTTATAACAAGCCCCTTTCTTTTTTTTTTTTTTTTTTTTTTTTTTTTATGAGATGGAGTCTCGCTCTGTTGCCCAGGCTGGAGTGCAGTGGTGCGATCTCGGCTCACTGCAAGCTCCGCCTCCCAGGTTCATGCCATTCTCCTGCCCCAGCCTCCCAAGTAGCTGGGACTATAGGCGCCCACCACCACACCTGGCTAATTTTTTGTATTTTTAGTAGAGACGGGGTTTCACCATGTTAGCCAGGCTGATCTCGATTTCCTGACCTCGTAATCTGCCCTCCTCGGCCTCCCAAAGTGCTGGGATTACAGGCGTGAGCCACCGCACCCGGCCATATAACAAGCCCCTTTCAGCCACACCTTGGTACATGTTAATAGGGTGATTTTTGAGAAGTCCCTAGATTACCACATTCTGGTTGGCTGGTTGCCATAGGAACCAACCATGTGCTCAGAGGCTTGGAAGTTACAGCCCCCCATCTTGAGAGGGTAGAAAGGAGCTGAAGGTTGAATTGATCACCGATAGCCAGTGATTTAATCAACCATGCCTATGTAATGAAGCCTTCATAACAACCCAAAGACCTCAGTTTAGGGGCTTCCAGGAAGGTGAACAAGAACACATTCATGTGCTGGAAGTGTGGCACACCCCAATTCCATGGGGATAGACGCTCCTACACATTAGACCCTTCCAGACCTGGCCGTATGTATCTCTTTATCTATTTGTATCCTTTAACATATCTTTTAGGTTGGCCTGACCCAGTGGCTCCTGCCTGTAATTCCAAAACTTTGAGAGGCCAAGGCAAGAATGTTAGTGGCCATGAATCTCAATTTCTGCCTCCTCAGAAGAAAGAATTCAACCAAAGGGGCATAAGGCAAAGTGAGAGACCAAGGCAACTCTTAGAGCAAGAGTGAAAGTTTATTAAAAAGTTTTAGGGCAGGAATGAAAAGAAGTAAAGTATACTTGGAAGAGGACCAAGATGGCGACTTGAGAGAGACAAGTAGGCGGTTTGACCTTTGACTTGGGATCTTACACATTCACACGCTTGCTGGGTCTTGCGTGTTACTTCTCCCCTGGTTTTTCCCTGAGTTCTGTGAGCTGCTCTAGCAAATTAATTGAATCCAGGGGTGTCATGGAAACCTCGATTTATAGCCGGTTGGTCAGAAAAACAGGTGAAAGAATGTGGAACCTGCAATTGGCATCAGAAGTAGGGCTCAGTCTTGTAGGAATAAGCCCTCAACCTGTAGGATCTGAAGCTGTCTCCAGGTAGATAGTGTCAGAATTGATTTGAATTAGGGGACACCAACTGGTGTCCACTGCAGAATTGAGTGCTTGGTTTCTGGGAGGAGAAAACCCACACATATGGTCACAGAAGCGTTCTGTATTGTAAAAGTAAAGTAGGATAAACTGAGTTTTTTTTCTCCAGAGCACTGCTTTAGTTGCAACTCATAAATTTTTGAATGTTTTATTTTCACTTAAATCAGTTCAAAATAATTTCTAATTTCCCTTGTAAAATTTCTTCTTTGATACATGTTATTCAATTTCTAAATATTTGAGGATTTCCCAGATTTCTTCCTATTGTTGATTTCTGATTAAATTCCATTGCGTTCAAAGAATATACTTGAGATGAGTTCAGTCCTTTTAAATGTAGTGCAACTGGGCTGGGGGCGGTGGCTCACGCCTGTAATCCCAGCACTGGGAGGCCGAGGCGGGTGGATCATTTGAGGGCAGGAGTTCAAGACCAGCATGGCCAATATGGTGAAACCCCCATCTCTACTAAAATACAAAAATTAGCCGGGCATGGTGGTGCCGTGCCATGGGGTTTCACCGTGTTAGCCAGGATGGTCTCGATTTCCTGACCTCGTGATCCGCCCGCCTCAGCCTCCCAAAGTGCTGGGATTATAGGCGTGAGCCACCATGCCTGGCTATTTCATTTTTAAATAACAGCTTTATTGACGTAAATCTCACATTCCATAAAATTCACCTGTTTAAAATGTACAATTCTGTGGTTTTTAGTATATTCACAGAGTTCTGCAACCATCACCACTGTCTAATTTTAGAACATTTTCATCACCCCAATAAAGAAACCCTATACCTAGGAGCAATCATCCCTGGCAACGACTTATCTCCTCTCTTTATGGATTGATGCCTATTCTGGACATTTCATGTAAATAGAATTGTATAAATATGTGGCATTTTTGTGACTGGCTTCTTTCGCTTAGTGTAATTTTTTTTTTTTTTTTTTTTGGTTTTTTTTTGAGACGACATTTTGCTCTTGTTGCCCAGGCTGGAGTGCAATGGCATGATCTAGGCTCACTGCACCCTCTGCCTGTAGAGTTCAAGCGATTCTCTTTTTTCTGTTTTATTTTGTTTTGAGACAGAGTCTCGCTCTGTCGCCCAGGCTGGAGTGCAGTGGCGCGATCTCGGCTCACTGCATGCTCCGCCTCCTGGGTTCACGCCATTCTCCTGCCTCAGCCTCCCGAGTAGCTGGGATTACAGGCATGCGCCCCACAGCCAGCTAATTTTGTATTTTTAGTAGAGACAGGGTTTCTCCATGTTGGCAAGGCTAGTCTCAAACTCTCAACCTCAGGTGATCTGCCGCCTTGGCCTCCCAAAGTGCTGGGATTACAGGCATGAGCCACTGCGCCTGGACACTTAGTGTAATGTTTGCAGGATCATTTGGCTGGATATAGAATTCTTAGTTGACATTTTTATTCTTTTTCACCACTTTGAATATGTCATTCCAGTGCCTTCTGGCCTTAATTGTTTTCAAATAAGAAGTTGTCATTAATTGAATTATTTCACTGTACATGATGAGTCATTTTTCTCTCTCTCTCACCGCTTTCAGGATTTTCTGTCTTTGCCTTTCAACAGTTTGTGATGTGTCTAGGTGTAGCTCTCTTCACATTTTTCCTAGTTTGGGTTCCTTGAGATTTTGGAATGTGTAGATTAATGTTTTTCATCAAATATGGGAGGTTTTTGGACATTTTCTTCAAATATTTTTTTCTACTCTCTCTCTCTTCTCTCTTCTTCTGAGGCTCTCCTTACACATATGTTAGTATGCTTGAAGTTTTTCCATAATCTCTGAAGCTTTGTTCATTATTCTTCAATGTTATTTCTCTTTGTTCTTCAGATCAGCTATTTCTATTGCTGTATCTTCAAGTTCACTGATTCTTCTGCCATTTTGAACTTGCTGTTGAGCTCCTCCAGCAAATTTATTGTATTATAATTTCAACTCCAGAATTTCCATTTGTTTGTTTTATTAGTAGCAGATCATCAGTACCCTTACATTTGCTTTCTTCATGCCTTTTCTTTTTTCTTTTTTTTTTTTTTTTTTTTTTTTTTGAGATGGATTTTCACTCTTGTTGCCCAGGAGTGCAATGGCACAATCTCAGCTCACTGCAACCTCTGCCTCCAGATCCAAGCAATTCTCCTGCCTCAGCCTCCCGAGTAACTGGGATTATAGGTATGCGCCACCACACCTGGCTAATTTTTTGTGTTTTTAGTACAGATGGAGTTTCACTATGTTGGTCAGGCTGGTTTTGACCTCCTGACCTCAGGTAATCCACCCACCTTGGCCTCCTAAAGTGCTGGGATTACAGGCGTGAGCCACTGCACCCAGCCTTTTTTTGTTTTTGTTTTTGTTTTTAGACAGAGTCTTGCTCTGTCACCAGGCTAGAGTGCAGTGGCGCAGTCTTGGCATGCTGGGATTACAAGCATGAGCCACTGCACGCAGCTTTTTTTTTTTGAGACAGAGTTTCGCCCTTGTCACCCAGGCTGGAGTGCAATGGCACAATCTCAGTTCACTGCAACCTCCACCTCCTGGGTTCAAGCGATTCTCCTGCCTCAGCCTGCTGAGTTAGCTGGGATTACCAGCCCTCTACCACACCTGGCTAATTTTTGCACTTTTTAATAGAGATGGGGTTTTACCACGTTGGCCAGCCTGGTCTCAAACTCCTGACCTCAGGTGATCCGCCCGCCTCGGCCTCCCAAAATGCTGACATTACAGGTGTGAGCCACCATGCCCGGCCTCTTCATGCCCTTTTCATTGGATAGAAATTTGAGCTTCTTGAGACCATCAGCAGTATGGATTTGGCCAGGCATGGTGGCCCACACCTGTAGTCCCAGCTGCTTGAGAGGCTGATGCAGAAGGATCACTTGAGGCCAGGAGTCTGAATTCAGCCTAGGCAACATAATGAGACTCTGACTCTAAAAAATTAAATTAAAAACAAAAACACAGTATGGACTCACAAAATGGAAGTACCAGTGCTAAGTAGACTTAATAGGACCGTCTTGTTCATTCTTTTAGGCCATACTGCCCATTAAAATACTACATTGTCTAACCATTCTCATCCATGGGTAGATTATACCCAACCTCCCTTTCCTATGATTGTTTGAGGGGTTTTTGCTTTTGAGATGGGGGATCTTGCTCTGTCACCCAGCTGAAGTGCAGTGGCGCAATTATGGCTCACCAGAGCCTCGAACTGCTAGACTCAAGTGATTTCCCCCATGTCAGCTTCCCTAGTAACCAGCACTACAGGCGTGTGCCACCACACCTGGATAATTTTTTAATTTTTTTTGTAAAGATGAGGTCTCACTTTGCTGCCTGTGTTGGTCTCAAACTCCTGGCATCAAGCAATCCTCTAGCCTCAGTCTCCCAGAGTGTCAGATTACAGGCGTGGGCCACTGACCCAGCCCTAGGATCTTTTATTTTCTGCTTTCTGACTATAGCTATACCTAAAAACCCTTTGCCTCCTAATAAGCTGGGTAGTAAATAGGTTTCATCTTCCTAAGGATCACCTTCAGTCAGTTGACGAATTTTTTTGTTTTGTTTTGTTTTGTTTTTGTTTTTGTTTTGTTTTGAGATGGAGTCTCACTCTGTAGCCCAGGCTGGAGTGCAGTGGCATGATCTCTGCTCACTGCAAGCTCCGCCTCCTGGGTTCACGCCGTTCTCCTGCCTCAGCCTCCTGAGTGGCTGGGACTACAGGCACCCGCCACCACACATGGCTAATTTTTTGTATTTTTAGTAGAGATGGGGTTTCACCATGTTAGCCAGGATGGTCTCGATCTCCTGACCTCGTGATCCACCCACCTCGACCTTCCAAAGTGCTAGGATTACAGGCGTGAGCCACCGCACCTGGCCCAGTTGATGAATTTATACAGAGCTCAATTGTAGATTCTAAGGTCACATGTAGGCCTAAGGAATAGCAAGTCATTTTTGAGACAGGGTCTCACTCCCTCACCAAGGCTGGAGCATAGCAGTGCAATCCTGGCTCATTGTAGCCTCGAGCTCCCAAACTCAGGTGATCCTCCCACGTCAGCCACTTGAGTAGCAGGGATAACAAGTGTGCACCACCATACCCAGCTAATTTTTTGTAGTTTTTTATAGAGATGGGGTTTCACCATGTTGTCTAAGCTGGTCTCGAACTCCTGGCTCAAATGATCCTCCCACCTCAGCCTCCTGAATAGCTGGGACTACAAGTGCATGCAGGCTACCACACCTGGCTTAAATTTCCTTTCTTTCTTTTTTTTTTTTTTAATTTTGAGACAAGGTCTTGCAGTGTCACCCAGGATGGAGGCTGAAGTGCAGTGGTGTGATCACAGCTCACTTCACTGCAGCCTTGACCTCCTGGGCTCAAGTTCAAACGATCCTCCCACCTCAGCCTACCAAGTAGCTGGGACTGTAGGTGTGCACCACGACACTCAGCTAATCTTTTTTGGTTTTTTGTAAAGACAGGGTCCCACTATGTTGCCCAGGCTGGTTCTTGAACTCCTGGGCTCAAGCGGTCCTTCCACCTCAGCCTCCCAAAGTGCTGGGATTATAGGCATGAACCATCACACCCAACCCTTAAATTTGTTAAGTTTATTAATTATCTTGCTGTCCCACAAAAGTTCTCTGTGTTCCTACTTCATCGACCCTGTGAAAAGCAGCCCTGTGCTTCATACTCTAGATGGCATCTCTCAGCCTCTGCCCCATACATCTTTTACTTGGCTATCATGTGGATATAAATTAAATCCTGTGAATACGTAACATCTCATAGGATGTAGAATGCAGAAATGCAGTAAAGACCATACTTCTGTGCCTCTTGGCTATTGTTGCTGTCAAAAAAGGTCATGGAACTACATCAGTTTTCCAGCATCCGTTGTCCAGCTTCATAGGTTGAGAGAGAAGTTGTTACAGTCAAAGCATCTTGCTTCCAGCAGAGCTGTGAAGGAGCCTCAGAGACTGTAGGTCACCTATTGGAACATGTATGCATTATTCCTGGAGATGTTTCTGGAGGCCCAACCTAGTATCATACTTTCAGCCTCTCTAGTGATTTTCTTTTTCTTTTCTTTTCTTTTCTTTTTTTTTTTTGAGATGGAGTCTTACTCTGTCGCCCAGGCTCAAGTGTAGTGGCACGATCTTGGCTCACTGCAACCTCCACCTCCTGGGTTCAAGTGATTCTTGTGCCTCAGCCTCCCAAGTAGCTGGGATTATAGGCACATAGCACCATGCCTGCCTAATTTTTTTATTTTTGGTGGAGACGGGGGTTTGCCATGTTGGCGAGGCTGGTCTCAAACTCCTGGCCTCAAGCAATCTACCTGCCTTGGCCTTCCCAAGTGTTGGGATTACAGGCTGAGCCACCACGCCCTGCCTCTCCAGTGAATGAATGAAAAGCACCTCATTTTCCATATCAAATCTTTTGCACCCTGGAGAGATAGTTGGTAGTTGGATTAAAGTTGTGTGCAGATATCATGGCAAAAAGGATGTGTAGTCAGGCTGCCATCTCAGAATTTTGACAATTTTTTTTTTTTTTTGAGACAGAGTTTTACTCCTGTTGCCCAGGCTGGAGTGCAATGGCGCAATCTTGGCTGACTGCAGCCTCCGCCTCCCGGGTTCAAGCAGTTCTCCTGTCTCAGCCTCCCGAGTAACTGGAATTACAAGTGCCTTACCATCACACCCGGCTAATTGACTTTTTTTTTTTTTTTTTTTTTTGAGACAGTTTCACTGTGTCGCGCAGGCTGGAGTGCAGTGGCATGATCTCGGCTCACTGCAACCTCCGCCTCCTGGGTTCAATCGATTCTCCTGCCTCAGCCTCCCAAGTAGCTGGGACACAGGCACCTGCCACCATGCCCTGGGGCTAAACTTTTTTGTATTTTTAGTAGAGACAGGGTTTCACTATGTTGGCCAGGCTGGTCTTGAACTCCTGGCCTCGTGATCCGCCCGCCTCTGCCTCCCAAAGTGCTGGTATTACAGGCGTGAGCTACCGCACCCGGCCTAATTGACAATTTTATCCAAGTTTTTTTTTTTTTTCCCTCTGTGGGCCTTAGCTTCCTCCAACCTCATAAACCTCTCAGTTTTTGTGGGCCAGGAATTTGGGAAAGGCTTGGCTGGATAGTTCTGATTCAGGGTCTCTTATGCAGTTGCAGTCAGATGGTGGCTCAAGTTGAAACAGCAGGGAAATGGAGCATCTGGGAGCTAGAGCTGAAACAACAGCGGGGTGGAGCCTCTGGGGGCTGGCCAGACATCTCTCTTTTCATGTGGTGTCAGGAACTCTCCATGTGGTCTTGATGCATGAAATAGTCTGGGGTTTCTCACAGCTTGGTGGCCTCAGAGCAGTCAGACTGCTTACATGGTGGGCAAAGGCTTTAAAAGCAAACATTCCCAATTTGGTTCCCTTTTATAATTTCTACTTTAATGTGTTTATGTTGCTTAGTGGTCAGATTAACTAGGGATTCAACAAGATCTTGTTCTAAACACCTGGAGCCTATAAGCCCTTGATTTTGTATTGTTGGATCTGTGTGTTGGTAGGGAAGCATAATCAAAGTTCAAGTCATTTTGAGATCTACCCTTCCCACGAGGTCCTTTTGCATCTCTTTTGTGTGTGTACGCAGCCTCAGGGTGGCCATGAGTATGTGGCTAACTTGGGCCCTCTCAGGTCTCCGCTGTCACACAGTCTCAGCCAGGAACACACTTGCCCCAACCATGAGCACACCTCCGGCCAGTGAAGCCTTTCACTCTTCCTGCTTACTGCCTTGGAGATCATCATTTCCATCAACAATATTGCTACATGTAAAGGAAATCAAGTGATTTCCTTCCTTCTGTATGGAAGCTATTTGTTTTCATGGCTAGCACCTTCTTGCCAGAGTTTCTACACCGATTGCAGGAAGGGCTGAGAGCAGCCTCACCTGAGCCTGGGAAATTGAGGCTACAGTGAGCTGACATTATGCCACTGCACTCCAGTGTGGGCACTGCAGCCTGGGAAACCCTGAGGTTTTGTTTGTTTGTTTGTTTTTCCCCATCTGGGGAAAAAAAAAAGCCGCTGATTCCTACTGTTCTTACCTGAAGTTCAGCAGTTTTGCAAGCACAAAATTGCTCTCGGATTGTTAAGTCCCTTTGGTTAACTTCCAGAGTGCTGAAGTGGTTGGTTTTGTCAGTTTTGTCCGGTTTTGTCAGTTTTGTCCTGTTTTATTGTTGCTTCTGCAGGAGATCTCCTCACTCTGCCTTGGCCAGAAGTTCCACCCTGTACTCACTTTGTTTTATATTCAACTTCGCTTCCTCTGCCTGACTTCAAAATTGGGAGGGTCCCAAGGCTCAGTCTCTGAACCTCTTTCCTTCTTCATCTACGCTAGGCAATCTCTTCCAGCCCCACAGTGTTCAATATGATTGATATACCAATGATTCCCCATTTATATCTCCAGCTCTGACCTCCCCCTTGAGCTTCAAGTGACTGACAGATCTGAATCTCCAACTCATCTCCACCTATATATCTGATAGACTACTCACACTCACATAACGAAAAGTCTTTAATTTTTCCTCCAAGGCTATCTTCCCCTAGTTCTAATCTATTCACTTGTTCAAGTTCAAAACCTAGGAGTTATCCTTGACTCCTTTCCTTCCTTCACTCCCACCCCCACATCCAGTCTAAGAAATCAGATGTCAAACCTATTGCCGGAACATAATTCCAAATTCATTCACTTTTCTCCATCTCCACTGACAACCTGCCTAGTCCAAGCTTCCATCATCTATTCTCTGAAGACTACAGCAGCCTTCTCCTTGTTCTTTCTGCTTCCATTCTTGTCCCCATACAGTCTGTTGACAACAACTGTCAGAGTAATCTTTTCAAGGGCAAACCAGATCTTGTCACCTCTCATTACACTAACAATAAAATCCGTAGTTCATACTGTGGCTTATGGAGCCTTATATTCATTCAACATCATCTACTAGGCCTCATGCTGTCTCTCCAACTTAATTTCCTACCATTCTTCTCTCATTCACCATATTCCAGGCATAGTGGGCTTCTCTCCATTCTTTGAACATGGAATATGCCAAACTCATCCCTGCCTCACAGACTTAATACTGTTTCAGGTTGGAACACTCTTTTCCTGTAAGCCTTGTGGCTGACACTTCCCCATGATGATTTTTTTTTTTTTTTTTAAATTTTCAGAGTCAAAGTCTTTCTCTGTTGCCTAGGCTGGAGTGCAGTGGCACATTCACGGCTCACTGAAGCTTCAAACTTCTAGGCTCAAGGGATTCTCCCACCTCAGCCTCCTGAATAGCTAAGACTACAGGCATGCGCCACCATGCCCAACTACGTTTTTTTTTTTTGTGTGTGTGTGTTTTTTAATTTTTGTAGAGATGTGGCTCTCCCTGTGTTGCCCAGGACAGTCTGAAACTTCTGGGCTGAAGCAATCCTCTTGCCTCAGCCTGTTGAGTTTCTGGGATTATAGGTGTGAGCCACCACAACCGGCCCTGTGATGGTCTTTACTAACTCTCCTGCCCCGTCATTCTCTACCCCGTACTCTGCTTGTTTTCATAGCATTTCTAATTCTCTGTCATTGTCTTGCTTATTTTTTACTTTATACCCCATCTTCTTTGTTGGTATGGCCCCCAGCACTAAGTGCAGTGTTGACACAAAGCACGTATTATAAATATATTTGTGTGGACTATGTGAATGTACTCTCTAAGGCCAGAGAGTGCATTCCAGCAGAGAGGTACATTTATTTAGCAGGTGCTTACCTGCCCTTGCTGTGGGTTTGGGAGTCTGATTCTGAATATGCTTGAAACCTCATCTCTTGAACAAAACAAAATCCACAATCTCCAGGTGAGGAAGTGATGACTGAACTCTGACCCCTGGGTATTACCTTCCCCATGTGGGTTTCTTATTGTGAGAAGCCTCTGACCCTCTTTTTTTTCTTCTTTTTTCTTCTTCTTCTTGTGTGTGTGTGTGTGTGTGTGTGTGTGTGTGTGTGTGTCCGAGTTTTGCTGTTGCTCAGGCTGGAGTGCAATGGCACAATCTCGGCTCACTGCAACCTCTGCCTCCCAGGTTCAAGTGATTGTCCTGCCTCTGTCTCCCAAGTAGCAGGGATTACAGGCATGCTTCACCACACCCGGCTAGTTTTGTATTTTTAGTAGAGATGGGGTTTTACCATGTTGGCCAGGCTGGTCTCAAACTCCTGACCTCAGATGATCCACCCACCTTGGCCTCCCAAAGTGCTAAGATTACAGGCATTACCAATCGTGCCTGGCCACCTCTGACCCTCTTTTAAAAGTTCTGGGCCAATTTTGTTTATAGAGTCATTTCTCTTGGTTTTTCAGAGCATAGCTAAGACAGGCAAGGTCTTTCACAAAAATTTACCATTTAAAAGAAAAATGCAGAAATAAAAAGAGATCATTAGGGGCAGAAATACAGCCCTTCTGCCTAAAAGGGCTGACATAGGTAAGCTTTAGATTTTGTGGATTAAGGAGAGACATCTTAAAAGCTCCCCACCAAGAACCTCTTCCAGGGCATCGACTTTTTTTTTTTTAAGACAGGGGCTTGCTCTGTTATCCAGGCTGGAGTACAGTGGCACTAACATGGCTTGCCATAGCCTTGACCTCCTGAGCTCAAGCAATCCTTCTGTCTCTGTCTCAGCCTTAGCCTCCCATGAAGCTGGAACCACAGGCATGTGCCACCACCCCCGGCTAGTTTTTGGTTTGTTGGTGTGTTTGTTTCTATGTAGAGACAGAGTCTCACCATCTTGCCCAGGCTGGTCTCAAACTCCTGGGCTCAACCCATCCTCCCACCTCAGCCTCCCAAAATGCTGGGATTACAGGTGTGAGCCACTGTGCCTAGCCTTGACCACTTTTTGGCTGAGACCAGGAGATTAAAAATGTGGGCCTGCCCTCCTCTCCCAGTTTTAGACTCTGCCTCTGCCTCTGCCTCACATTGCCAGCGCCATGATAGAACTCATGCCTTGGCCGGGCGCGGTGGCTCACGCCTGTAATCCCAGCACTTTGGAAGGCCAAGGTGGGTGGATCACGAGGTCAGGAGATCGAGACCATCCTGGCTAACACGATGAAACCCCGTCTCTACTAAAAATACAAAAAAATTAGTTGGGCGTGGTGGTGGGTGCCTGTAATCCCAACTACTCGGGAGGCTGAGGCAGGAGAATGGTGTGAACTTGGGAGGCGGAGCTTGCAGTGAGCCGACATCATGCCACTGCACTCCAGCCTGGGTGACAGAGCGAGACTCCCTCTCAAAAAAAAAAAAAACAAACAAAAATGAACTTATGCCTTGGGAGAGATTTTACCTCCTCTTCTCTTCTCAAAAAGGTAAGACTGTTCTCCAGGCACAATAATTTAAGCACAGGTTAATACCATGTTTCATATAGTGTGGCACTTATATAATACGTTATGTGATTTTATTTTATTTATTTATTTAGAGACAGAGTCTAGCTCTGTCACCCAAGTTGGAGTTAGTGGCACAACCTCAGCTCACTACAACCTCTGCCTCCTGGGTTCAAACAATTCTCCTGCCTCAGCCTCCCGAGTAGCTGGGATTATAGGTGCCTGCCACCACACCTGGCTAATTTTTGTATTTTTAGTAGAGACAGGGTTTCACCATGTTGGCCAGGCTGGTCTCGAACTCCTGATCTCAGGTGATCTGCCCACCTCGGCCTCCCAAAGTGCTAGGATTACAGGCGTGAGCCACCACGCCCCACCCTGTTATGTGATTTTAAATGTTTCAAAGTCAGATCAAGAACAATGAGAAAAGTATTCCTTTTTCGAGTCTTTCAGTCCTCCTGATTCTATCTGGGAAGAAGTTTCAGTTGGGTGCTACCATATCTTAAAACCTCTCAGCACAGTTGCTGTTCTCTTCTTCCTGGGGAATGCTCCAAGCCTCATTTTTATCATATTTATTTTTATTGGTATCTGCTTAAGTTTATGATCTAAAGATTCCTTTTTAAAAGAAGTTCCTAAGTAAAGAAAGTTGGCATACATAAAATTATAAAATAAGTAATAGTGTAGGTGGTGTGAGAACACAGCATGAGTCACGGTGGCAGTAGGAAAGGCTGGCTGAGGTCTGCCAGTGTCCTAGTATGGCATCCCATCATTCAGTGCCTGTGTTTGAGGCAGGGTTCAAAGGCAGTGCTGTTGAGGTAGTGTTTGTCAACTCAATGATTTCTTGTTTTCCCCTCTATAGTGGAGCACATGATCCAGAAGAACCAATGTCTCTTCACCAACACCCAGTGTAAGGTTTGCTGCGCCTTGCTTATTTCTGAGTCCCAGAAGCTGGCACATTACCAGGTATGCCATCATACTTTTAGAACTGCGTTTCTTTTCAGACCTGGTGCCAAACCACTAATTCTCTCTGGCTTGCATGGTGAAGTGTAATTGCTGCTTAGCCACCCAGATGTTGCCTCCATGCATGTTGGCTTGTGACTTGAAGATTGACTTAATCTCCTTGAGTCTCATCTCCCCCATCCAAATCAGGATCATTATATGTGTATCTTCCCTTGCAGCTTGGCATAGCATAAAGTATGAGCTTTGGCTTTAAATAGATCTGACTTTAAATCAAAACTCTGCTACTCATCTTGAGCAAGAAACTTCATCATTTTTAGATGTAGTTTCCTCATCCATAAAATAGAAATGGTCATAATTTTCTCATAGATTGTGAAGATTAAATTTGGTAGCTGTAAAATGCCTTGCACAGAGCAGGAACTCAAACTTCCCTCACCTCCTCCTCAAAACTTTTTGTGAGGATGAATCAGATGAAAATCTCATAAGTGTTTTTGAGTGCCTTAAGTATGAAGTAGCATTTGGCTATCTTTGATCTTTCTCCTGGGTTTTTGCAGAGCAAAAAACATGCCAACAAAGTGAAGAGATACCTAGCAATCCATGGAATGGAGACATTAAAGGGGGAAACGAAGAAGCTAGACTCAGATCAGGTAATACAGCTGCCATATTGAGCCCACTTGCTTCATGATGAAGCCAGCCAGCAGGTTGGTGTGGTGAACAAGTCAGACTGTCTTGGCTTCAAATCCTGGCCCTGTTGTGTGACTCGGGCAAGTCTATTACTTCACAAAGCCTTGATTTCTTCCTCTATAAAAATGAGGATGGTAATATCAACTACCTTTCAGGATTTTTTAGAACTAAAATTGAGGGCAGATTTATAAAAAGCACCCAATTCAGAGCCTGGCACATAGTAGGGACTCAGTAATGGAGCTGGTATTACATATTACCGCCTAGTGGTTTGTTAGAGCAAGACAAGAGAAAATGGAAAGAAGCCAGGCTGCTTGCTTTCTTGAGGGCCAAGGAAAAGAACTAAGTTCAGCACTTGAATGTTTTGCATAAATAAGCAGAAGGAACACCTTTCCAAATGTCTGCTGTGATTGAGAGGTGATCACATGTGCTTTTTGGCTCAGAAATAATATGAGCATTATGCTGAAGCAACCCCCAATCCCTCAGGAGTACCATCTCATCATGGGAAGAGAAGTTAAGCAGACTAGGGCTCAAAGCTGGCTGTGTGTCTTACTGATCGGGTGAGTTTGGCCAAGTCACTTAACCTCTGTGAACTTCCCCCATAAAGTAGAGATAATGCCTACTTCTTAAGGGTATTGTGAGGTAAAATTTCAATTCCTAGTAGATGCTCAATAAATAAGAGTTTACTCTATAGACTGCTACCTCCTATTATAGTAGCCACAGGTCAGGAAGGTCCTTGTTTATCTCTTCTCAAAATTTACTGGACTCATCCCCTGGTTTCCCTTATTATTTATTTATTTATCCCTGGTTTCCCTCCTTTCTATTTCTCTATCTGTCTATTTGTGAGACAGGACCTGGCTCTGTTACCCAGGCTGGAGTGCAGTGGTGCAGTCACGGCTCACTGCAGCCTCAACCTCCCAAGCTCAAGTGATCCTCCCACTTCAACCTCCCAAGTAGCTAGGACTACAGGCACACACCACCACGCCTGGCTAACTGGAGTGCAGTGGCACGATCTCAGCTCACTGCAACCTCCACCTCCTGGGTTCAGGCGATTCCCCTGCCTCAGCCTCTGAAGTAGCTGGGACTACAGGCACGCGCCACCACACCCAGCTAATTTTTGTATTTTTAGTAGAGATAGGGTTTCACCAGGTTGGCCAGGCTGGTCTCAAACCTCTGATCTCAAGTGATCTGCCTGCCTCAGCCTCCCAAAGTGCTGGGATTACAAGTGTGAGCCACTGCGCCCAGCCGCCTGGCTGATTTTTTAAAAAATTTTTCGTAGAGACAGGGTCTCGCTTTGTTGCCCAGGCTGGTCTCAAATTCCTGGTCTCAAGTGATCCTCCCACCTCAGGCTCCCAAAGTACCAGGATTACAGGTATGAGCCACCACACCTGGCCCTTTTCTCACAATTTATAATTCAGAAAGGCAAGATAAACTCTATGACCCTGGGCAAGTTATTTTACATATTTGCACCCTATTCAGAGATCAGGCTTTCTGAGAGAGATGCTGGGATCCCTTTATGTAGTCTTGAAATACATGGTTTCCTAGCCTAATCATAATCAACAAGTAGAACGCAATGGGAGGCTGGGTGCGGTGGCTCATACCTGTAATCCTAGCAATTTAGGTGGCTGAGGCAGGCGGATTGCTTGAGCTTGGGAATTCGAGACCACCCTAGGCAATATGGTGAAACCCCGTCTCTATAAAAAATACAAAAATTAGCCGGGTGTGGTGGCATATTCCTGTAGTCTGGCTACTTGCAGGGGTGGGTGGGAGAATTGCTTGAGCCCTGGAGGTGGAGGTTGCAGTGAGCCGAGATCGTGCCACTGCACTCCAGCCTGGGCAACAGAGTGAGACCCTGTCTTAAAAAAAAAAAACCTAATGGTCCACTTGTTCAGCAAACTCTGAGCATCTACTGTGTGCCAGACTCCAGCTGGGTGTGAAGGATAAGAAACAAAAATGAGTCAAATAGTCCGTGTTCCAATGTCACACTTGAGTTCACAGAAAAGTCTCCTAAGCTATGACACTGTCAGTTTAGGGTGGCAAGTGGTATGACAGAGGTCTATTTAATGTACTCTGGGAGCACAGAAGAGGAGCAGGGTTAATTCTTCCTGGAATACACAAAGGGACTTGACAGTTGTTTACTGAATGATGTTTTTTTTTTTTTGAGAGAAAGTCCCCCAGAGGAAAAGCTTATATTTAAATTGGGTCTTGAAGGCTAAGCAGACACGCTGCCAAGCAGGAAAGGAAGGAAGCACATTTTAGACAGCAGGAATGGCCAAAGCAAAGCAAGGAAGCATCAGAGAATAAAGTGGGGGATGGTGAGTAGAGTCTGGGACAAAGTAGCTGGAGAAGAATCTAGAAAGTAGGTTGGGGTTAATGTGTGAGGGGGGCCATAAATGCCTGTTCTGTTATGGGCAGTGGGGAACCATTGAAGATTTTCTGGTGGGGCAGTGGTATGATCAGACCTGTGTTCTTTCTTCCAACCAGAAGAGCAGCAGAAGCAAAGACAAGAACCAGTGCTGCCCCATCTGTAACATGACCTTTTCCTCCCCTGTCGTGGCCCAGTCGCACTACCTGGGGAAGACCCACGCAAAGAACTTAAAGCTGAAGCAGCAGTCCACTAAGGTGGAAGGTACTGGTTTTCCTGAGTAGTGCTATAGTGGGACCCCTGCCGTCCTCAGGGCACTACTGCCAGGGGCTCACAGAGATCCTCACTGAGGCCACAGACTTGAAGAAGTTGAATTGCTTTTGAGAACCCTTAAAAATCTCCAAGTAGACCCAGCTTCACTGAAATGCAATCTCAGAATTATGCTCACCTAACCTCCCTTTCTTTGGTTATAGGTTTTTCTCTATAGGCTGAGCTTTTGTCCTGACTAATAATTATAACTCAGGAGTGCCAAAGTCCTCCAGGCCACGCATACCATGAGAGCATTCTATCTCCTACCTCTCCCACTAGATTTTTCCATCCCAGCATCCACCTGCCCTTATTACTGCATGTTCCAAGTTGAAAGCTAAATCCTTGTCTTTTTCACATGCTCAGGTTATGGCCTACTCACTTTAATCCTCAAAAGCTGCCTGTTCTCCTCAAGACAGGGACTTGCCTTTCAAAGCTGAATACTTCAGTGCTGCTACTACTGCCCCACAATCTGTAACTGCCATGAATTCATTCCCAGTACAGTGACTTCTGAAATAGCCCCCTTTATCTCGTCACGACTAGGGCTCAGCCCTCACTTTCATCTCATTAACTCCTGACTTTCTGGGGTTTTAACCTCTGCTAATTGCAATTAGTCAAGAGTGAAAGTTCTTTGATGTTTATTTCATTGTTTTCTTGATAATTTTTGCTTCTCTATTTTGGACCAAGAAGTAGACTACACTATTAGTAATACTATTATCCTTTTTGTGTTTACTGACAACTGTGTTTTGGAAGCCTTCAAAGGTAGGGTGAAAAATCACTCATAATTTTTTTTTTTTGAGATGGAGTCTCGCTCTGTTGCCTAGGTTAGAGTGCAGTGGCATGATCTCGGCTCACTGCAAGCTCTACCTCCCAGGTTCATGCCATTCTTCAGCCTCAGCCTCCCAAGTAGCTGGGACTACAGGTGCCCACCACCATGCCCAGCTAATTTTTTTGTATTTTTTAGTAGAAACGGGGTTTCACTGTGTTAGCCAGGATGGTCTCAAACTCCTGACCTCGTGATCCACCTGCCTCGGCCTCCCAAAGTGTTAGGAATACAGGCATAAGCCACCACGCCGGCCAAAACCTTTTTTTTTAAATAGAGATGGCTTCTCACTATATTGCTCAGGCTGGTCTTGAACTCCTGGCCTTAAGTGATACTCCCATCTCAGCTTCCCAGAGTGCTGGGATTACAGGCATGAGCCACCACACCTGGCCACTCATAATTACACCTTTTTATCACACCCACATCTAGTTATTCATGGTATGAAACAGCAGAATGTGGACTTTGAAGTCACAGAGTCCCAGGTTTAAAGCCTGGCACTGTTACTGTTTATATGACTTTTTTGTGTCTGAACTGCCTAACCTATAAAATGATAATAATACTGTCTACTTCATCGGTTGTGAGGATACAATAATGTGTATTAAAAACACAGGACATAGGCCGGGCATGGTGGCTCATGCCTGTTGTAATCCCAGCACTTTGGGAGGCTGAGGTGGGCAGATCACTTGAAGTCAGGAGTTCAAGACCAGCCTGGTCAACACGGTGAAACCCAATCTCTACTAAAAATAACAAAAATTAGCTGGGTGTGGTGGCACGAGCCTGTAGTCCCAGCTTCTTGGGAGACTGAGGCAAGAGAATCGCTTGAACCCGGGAGCTGGAGGTTGCAGTGAGCTGAGATCGCACCATTGTACACCAGCCTGGGGGACAGAGCAAGACCTCGTCTCAAAAAAAAAAAAAAAAAAACCAATTTTATAAGGTCACAGACTTCTCTTCCCACAAATGGGAAAATTCTCTGCATTATGCCTTGTCCCTGAAATTTCATACTCGAGATTATTTTCCATATTCACTTTCAGCTTTTGCCACATACTTTGTTTTTATATAGTTGTGATCATAATGCAGGTACCCTTTATATCCCGCTTTTACTTTTCATTTAATTTTACAGCTTAAGCACATTTCCATGTTATTACACAACTTTATAACTATATTTCTGAAATTAAACACTTTTTAATGTAAAGTAATATAATCATGTTGTAAGAGATAAGGAAAACATGGATAAATGGAAAGAAAAGTTACCCATAATTTTACCATTCACAGATAAACACTGTTAACATTTTGGTTTCTCCTATAATCTGTTTCTCCTATAATCTTATTGTTATATGTATCTTTGTATATCTGTGTGTATATTCGTTTTGTGTATATCTAGGTTAACTCCGTGTATATGTGCATATAAACATAGACTACTTTAAATAACTTTCATGTTTTTATAAAAACAATGCATACTCATTATGAATAATTCCACTTCAAACAATTGCAAAAGATACAAAGAAGAAAGTAAAATATCACCTAAATCCTACACCAAGAGAGAAATACTGTTAATATGTTGGTGATGTTTTAAAATACCAGTATGCACATATGGATTACACGTGTGGGGTTTTTAAAATTTTTTTATTTATTTTTATTTATTTATTTATTTATTTATTTATTTATTTTGAGATGAAGTCTTGCTCTGTCACCCAGGCTGGAGTGCAGTGGCACGATCTCGGCTCACTGCAACCTCCGCCTCCTGGGTTCAAGCGATTCTTCTGCCTCAGCCTCCCAAGTAGCTGGGACTACAGGCGCGTGCCACCGCGCCTGGCCAATTTTTGTGTTTTTATTAGAGACGGGGTTTCACTATGTTGCCCAGGCTGGTCTTGAACTCCTGGCCTCAAACAATGATCTTACCGTATGGTATGTACAATTGCCTTTTTTGTTTGTTTGTTTTTTGTTTTTTTTTTTTTTTGAGATGGAGTCTCCCTCTTTTGCCCAAGCTGGAGTGAAATGGCGCAATCTCAGCTCACTGCAACCTCTGCCCCACCAGGTTCAAGCAATTCTCCTGCTTCCACCTGCTGAATAGCTGGGATTACAGGTGCCCACCACCATACCCGGCTAATGTTGTTTTTTTGTTTTTTTGAGATGGAGTTTTGCTGTCGCCTAGACTGGAGTGCAGTGGTGCAACCTTGACTCACTGCAACCTCCACCCTCTGGGTTCAAGCAATTCTCTTGACTCAGCCTCCTGAGTAGCTGGGACTACCGGCACCTGCCACCACGCCCAGTTAATTTTTGCATTTTTAATAGAGACAGGGTTTCAACATATTGCTCAGGCTGGTCTTGAATTCCTGACCTCAGGTGATCCACCCACCTCAGCCTCCCAAAGTTCTGGGATTACAGACATGAGCCACCGTGCCCTGCCTAATTTTTGTATTACTAGCGATGGGGTTTCGGCATGTTGGCCAGGCAGATCTCTAACTCCTGATCTCAGGTGATTCACCCGCTTCTGCCTCCCAAAGTGCTAGGATTACAGACATGAGCCACCGCACCTGGCCATACAATTGCCTTCTATATGTTTTTTATTTAATATGACATTTGTATTTCCCCATGTTATTAAAAAATTCTTTATAAGCATTTTTAGTGACTGCATCGTACTACATTTAATATTCGTCTAATGCTGAACATTTAATCTCCCCACCCCCCACTTTTTGGTGTTACAGATAACACTACAGTGAACATCTCTGTAGAACACTTTATTACATTTCAGGTTATTTTCTGAGAACAGACTCTATATCCCTCATTTTATTGGATGCGCATTAAATGGTTCTAGACTTACTTACACTTTCACTTCTGATGCTTCTGTTCAGTATCTCAAAGAATGACCGTTCTCTCTTAACAACCATTATACCTCTTTTCTGATGTTAAAAATCTACATTCATTACAGAAAAGTTGGAAAATAGTAGGCCGGGTGCTCACGCCTGTAATTCCAGCACTTTGGGAGGCTGAGGCGGGTGGATCACCTGAGGTCAGGAGTTTGAGACCAGCCTGACCAACATGGAGAAACCCCATCTCTACTAAAAATACAAAATTAGCTGGGCATGGTGGCGTATGCCTGTAATCCCATCTACTTCGGAGACTGAAGCAGGAGAATCGCTTGAACCCCAGAGGCAGAGGTTGCAGTGAGTCAAGATCGTGCCATTGCACTCCAGCCTGGGCAACAAGAGCAAAACTCCATCTCAAAAAGAAAAAAAAGAAAGGAAAAGTCGGAAAATAGTGAAACACACTCTACTCTCTGTGCTTTTGATCTTTTTTCCATGCTGTCACCTATGCGTTTGTTGTTGTTCTATAAAATTGAGGACATAAGAAGCAGATTGATGTGTAACTTGTTTTTTTCTTTTTTTTTCTTTTTTTTTTTTTTTGAGACAGAATTTCACTCTTTTCGCTCAGAGTGGAGTGCAATGGCGCAATCTCAGCTTACTGCAGCCTCCGCCCACCTGTTCAAGCAGTTCTCCTGCCTCAGCCTCCTGAGTAGCTGGGATTACAGGCATGCACTACCACACCCAGCTAATTTTGTATTTTTTTAGTAGAGACTGAGTTTCACCATGTTGGCCAGGCTGGTCTCAGAACTCCTGAGTCAGATTATCTGCCTGCCTCAACCTCCCAAAGTGCTGGGATTACAGGCACAAGCCATTGCGCCTGGCCTGTAACTTGCTTTTTTTACACTCAACACCACAAACAGAATATTTTCTCATATTATAAAATATTCTACAACATGTACATTACTTTTTTGATGACTTGCTGAAACAAAATCAACAAGCAGAGAAACTGAAATTCCCTATACTAGAAAAACCATTGTGGGAAAGGCCAGCAAATTTCTTCTGGCTTGCCCAAAATCCTCAAAACTTCCCCAGTTGAAGTGATACAGGTATGGAAGAGCATCTGAGACATATCATCTGTGAGTCCTGCTGAGCCCCATCAGTCCTCCACCACTGGTGGGGGCTTCTGGGCCCCACATTTTTAAAGCAGTAGTTGCTAGGTTGACACCATTTCAGCCACATGGACTTGTTAGTGAGTCGTGGCATCCGCTTTATGAGGCAGCAGCGCAGCCTAGAGTCAACATCAAGCCATATGTTGATGCACAAGAGGCTCGCATGTATGCCTATACCAGGCTCTGATTCACTGAATTCATTGGCCAGAATCAGGGATGTTTTCTGAAGGCGTAAGTAAGAGCTATAGCCTTCAGGTCTTCTTGCCACACTGGCAGCCTGGCATAGCAAAGAGAGCACAGGCTTTAGGGTCACAGACCTGGCTTCACTCACTGGCTGGGTCACCTTGGGCAAGCCACTTCACTCATCTGAGCCTCAGTTTTTCTGAATAATGTGGCAAAGTGATACCTACCTCATTGGGGTAGTTCTGAGGACCAAAGGAGAAAATATATGTAGAAAACACATCACTAATTTTTTTTTTTTTGAGGTGGAGTTTCGCTCTTGTCGCCCAGGCTGGAGTGCAGTGGCGCAATCTCGGCTCGCTGCAACCTCCGCCTCCTGGGTTGAAGTGATTCTCCTACCTCAGCCTCCCAAGTAGCTGGGATTACAGGCACACGCCACCATGCCCAGCTAATTTTTGAATTTTTAGGAGAGACAGGGTTTCACCATGTTGGCCAGGATGGCCTCAATCTCTTGACCTCGTGATCCGCCTGCCTTGGCCTCCTGAAGTGCTAGGATTACAGATGTGAGCAAAACGCATAACTAAATGTTAATGGTCCTCTTTTCTCTCTACTCAGCCTATAATATGCAATGTAGCCTAAAAGGCATCCCTAGTATGGTTACCTTTTCTGAATGACCTTGTATGAGCTCCAGGAACTCAAGCCTCAATTTCTGTATCTGTGCATTTGTTCCCAGCTCTGCAACTGTATTACTTTAA
This sequence comes from Homo sapiens, assembly GCF_000001405.40. Taxonomy (NCBI): domain Eukaryota; kingdom Metazoa; phylum Chordata; class Mammalia; order Primates; family Hominidae; genus Homo; species Homo sapiens. The sequence goes on from NC_000005.10 coordinate 177,050,307, forward strand.
GGATGAGAATAAAACTCCCAAACTTCGTGTCCCACTTGCTGTGAAGTTCTGGGAAGTACTGAGGTATCCCTGCAAGAGTGCAAGTGTGCATCTCTAGTCTATTGTAACTTGGCAGCCTGACAGGAGAAGCTCAGGGCCTCCTAAGAATATGAGAACCACCAGGATTTGTGGGCTTAAAGTAGTTAAAGCCGCTGAATGAAATAGCCAGTCTTTGGGCTCCCTCAAATCTTCCCAGGTTTCCCAATTAGAGAATGCATTCACCTGTGTGACTCACACAGGCAGTGCCACATCTGCAGTAGGATTAACTGGTGTCACAGCCCTTTCTATTCAGCATACTCAAAAGCCTGACACCTTCTGGGTTTTTTCATTGTTTCTGTTTGAACTCTCTCACTGCAGCTCTGTCAAAACGCCTTACAAATCCTTTCCTTGTGGCCTCCACCTTAGCCTTGCACCAGAATAGAGAGATGATAGACCCAGACAAGTTCTGCAGCCTCTGCCATGCAACTTTCAACGACCCTGTCATGGCTCAACAACATTATGTGGGCAAGAAACACAGAAAACAGGAGACCAAGCTCAAACTAATGGCACGCTATGGGCGGCTGGCGGACCCTGCTGTCACTGACTTTCCAGGTGAGGGGGCCTAGCTCACACCCAGAGCTGGACCAGGGTTTGGCCACTGGGGCTACCCGGACCAGCTGACGTTGTGCTTTTCCTCCTTAGGTCTTGTAAGTAGGGTTTGCGAACTCAGATGGCTACAGAAGCCAGATGAGAAATTAAAATGAGAGCCAGGAAGGGGATATGGTCAGCTGAAGAGTGAATGCCATTCCTACTCAGCTGTTACCATATCTTTCAGGTTTTCTTTTCTTTTTTTTTTTTTTTTTTTTTTGAGACAGAGTCTTGCTCTGTCACCCAGGCTGGAGTGCAGTGGCGCGATCTCGGCTTACTGCAAGCTCCACCTCCCAGGTTCATGCCATCCTTCTGCCTCAGCCTCCTGAGTAGCTGGGACTACAGGTGCCTGACACCATGCCCAGCTAATTTTTTTGTATTTTTAGTAGAGACGGGGTTTCACCATGTTAGCCAGGATGGTCTCGATCTCCTGACCTTGTGATCCGCCCACCTCGGCCTCCCAAAGTGCTAGAATTACAGGCGTGAGCCACCGCGCCCAGCCCTCTTTCAGGTTTTCAAAAGACTCTGGAAAGCCAGATTTATATAGAAATCCCTCTGTTTTTGTTTTTGCGTTTGTGTTTTTTGAGATGGAGTCTCCCTCTGTCACCCAGGCTGGAGTGCAGCGGCGCAATCTCAGCTCACTGCAGCCTCCACCTCCTGGGTTCAAGCGATTTTCCTGCCTCAGCCTCCCGAGTAGCTGGGGCTACAGGCACACACCACCACGCCCGGCTAATTTTTGTATTTTTAGTAGAGACAAGGTTTCACCATGTTGGGCAGGATGGTCTCGATTTCCTGACCTCGTGATCCGTCCGCCTCGGCCTCCCAAAGTGCTGAGATTACAGGCGTGAGCCACTGCACCCGGCCCCTCTGATTTTTAAATGTGTAACTAAATTAAAAAATTTTTAAGCCCAGCCAGGCATAGTGGCTTATGCTGTAATCCAAACACTTTGGGATGCCAAGGTAGGAGGATCACTTGAGCCTAAGAGTTCAAGACCAGCCTGGCCAACATGGTGAGATCCCATCTCTACTAAAAATTTTAAATATTAGCTGGGCATGTGGCGCATGTCTGTAGTCCCAGCACCTTGGGAAGGCTGAGGTGGGAGGATAACTTGAGCCCAGGAGGTCAAGGCTAAAGTGAGATATGATTGTGCCACTGTATTCCAACCTGAGTGAGAGCGAGAACATGTATCAAAAAAACAATTTTTTTTTTTTTTTGAGACAGTCTCACTCTGTCTCCCAGGCTGGAGTACAATGACACCATCTCACCTCACTGCAACGTCTGCCTCCTGTGTTCAAGCGATTCTTATGCCTCAGCCTCCTGAGTAGCTGGGATTACAGTTATGTGCCACCCCACATGGCTAATTTCCGGCTAATTTTTTTTGTATTTTTAGTAGAGACAAGAGTTTCACCGTGTTGGCCAGGTTGGTCTCGAACTCCTGACCTCAAGTGATCCACCCGCCATGACCTCCCAAAGTGGTGGGATTAGAGGCATTAGCCACCAAGCCCAGCCAAAAAAAAAAAAAACTATTTTTAAACCCTGTGTAAGTCAGACCTGTCTGCAAGCCAGATTTGGGCCAAGGACCCTTAGCGGATTAGATCAGAATCTCATGTTCTGATAGTTCTTACTTTGTACCTCCACAAAGGTGAACCCCTGAGAGAGAAAAGGTTGCTTCCTATCAGCAGAATTTAGACCCCTACATTAAAGTTTTGCCTCCCCCATTCTTTGGTTGTGGTTATGTTAAGGAGATACTGGTACTAAGAAAAACTACTAAAACTACACGTACACATGGTCCCCAACTTCCTATGGTTCAGCTTTATGATTTTTTTCAACTTTACGATGGTGTGAAAGCAATAGATGTTGAGTAGAAACTGTACTTCTCTTGCACTGCTAGGCAGCAATTGGTAATAAGTTTATCTAGATGTAACCCCATTGTAAGTCAAGGAACATCTGTAGAGTGAGAGAAAGCATGGAAATCTTCTGCTGACTTGCAGGATCCATTCACCACTCATTGGTAAAGGATGAATTCCTTGTTTTTACCTTTTTTTTTTTTAAGAGGGTCTCTTGCTGGATGCAGTGGCTCACGCCTATAATCCCAACACTTTGGGAGGCCAAGGCAGGTGGATCATAAGGTCAAGAGGGCGAGACCATCCTGGCCAATATGGTGAAACCCAGTCTCTACTGAAAATAGAAAAATTAGCTGGACGTGGTGACACACGCCTATAGTCCCAGCTACTTAGGAGGCTGAGGCAGGAGAATTGCTTGAACCCGGGAGGTGGAGGTTGCAGTGATCCAAGATCGCGCCACTGCACTCCAGCCTGGCAAAAGAGCAGCAAGACTTCATCTCAAAAAAAAAAAAAAAAAAAAACAGGGTCTCTGTATGTTGCCTAAGCTGGTCATGAGCTCTTGGGTTCAAGTCATCCTTCTACCTTGGCCGCCCAAAGGGCTGTGATTACAGGCATGAGCCGTTACACCCAGCCTGCTGTTATCAAGTATGCATTTAAGTCTTGCCCAAAGTATTTGTGTATTTTGGTACTTTTAATGCTGTTTTAAAATGAACATTCCTTAAAGTTGACTGGACCATTTCTAATACAATAAGGATAATTTTAAAAGACCTGGAAGAAATTCAGTTTTCATGAATATTATACTGTTAAGAGAGGGAAAAAAATATCGACCTTGATGAGTTTTTCTTACATGTGTTCTTGTTTGCTATGAATTCATTGGGAGAAAATATTTGCTGCCTTTTTACTGTGCATTCCAACTGTATTCTTAAAACATTTCAAAATGTATGTATATTTTAACATTTTGTGACATACTAACATGTTTTTAGAATATACTAGTCCATGCCTAATCCATAGGGGATACGTTTCAAAACCCCCCATGGATATCTGAAATGGTGGATAATACCAAACCCTCTATATACGGTGTTTTTCTCTCTGAGAACCAACATGGCTAAGGCACTAATGAGCAGATAGCGTATACAGTGTGGTGAACAAAGGGATGATTGACATCCTAAACAGGGTAGAATGGGATAGCTTGAGATTTCATCATGCTACTCAGAATAGCCAGCACTTTAAAAAACTTATGAATTGTTTACTTCTGGAATTTTTTTTTTTTTTTTTGAGATAGGGTCTTCTCTGTCACACAGGCTGGAGTGCAGTGCACAATTATGGCTCACTGCAGTCGTGACCTCCCAGACTCAAGCATTCCTCCCACCTCAGCCTCCCAAATTGTTTAACCACAGGTGTGTGCCACCACACCTGGCTACTTTTTTATTTTTTGTAGAGCTAGAGTCTCGCCACGTTGCCCAGGCTGGTCTTGAATTCCTGGGCTCAAGCGATCCACCCACCTTGGCCTCCCAAAGTGCTGGGATTACAGACATGAGCCACCATGCCCAATCTGGCTATTTTTTATTTATTTATTTATTTTTTTATTTTGTTTTTTTGAGATGGACTTTCGCTCTTGTTGCCCAGGCTGGAGTGCAGCAGTGCCATCTCAGCTCACTGGAACCTCCGCCTTCCAGTTTCAAGCAATTCTCCTGCCTCAGCCTCCCGTGTAGCTGGGATTACAGGTGCCCACCACCATGCCCGGCTAATTTTTTTTTATTTTTAGTAGAGACAGGGTTTCACCATGTTGGCCAGGCTGGTCTTGAACTCCTGACCTTGTGATCCACACAGCTCAGCCTCCCAAAGTGCTGGGATTACAGGCGTGAGCCCCCGTGCCTGGCCGGCATTTTTTATTTCATATTTTTGGACTGCAGTTGACCACAGATAACTGAAACCATAGAAAGCAAATCTGCAGATGTTGAGTGGGGAGTGGTGGCGGGACTACTGTAATGATTGCATAGTATAATCTATTAATCCAGAACAGAAGGACCTCAAGTGAACTTAACTAATTCAATTTACTTAGATTTCTGGGTAAAAACTGATTCTATAAATTAAGAAATAGTAGGTTCTTTATGGTAAAGATACCTTTCTGAAAAGTAAAAAATTGTATTGAAATTTTACTAATATGTAGATTTTGCTACATATTACTATTATATATTACATTTACAAATACGTAGGTTTTTTTTTTTTTTTTTGAGACAGAGTCTCATTCTGTCACTCAGGCTGGAGTGCAATGGTGCAATCTCGGCTCACCGCGACCTCTGCCTCCTGGGTTCAAGCAATTCTCCTGCCTCAGCCTCCTGAGTAGCTGGGATTATAGACACCCACCACCAAACTCGGCTAATTTTTGTGTTTTTAGTAGAGACGGAGTTTCATCATGTTGGCCAGGCTGGTCTCAAACTACTGACCTCAGGTGATCCACCTACCTCGGCCTCCCAAAGTGCTGGGATTACAGGTGCGAACCCACCACACTCGGCCCTAATATGTAGATTTTTCTGAGACTTCATATAGCTATCTCTGAAATTTTGGGCACTAAAAGAACTTGAGAAAGTTACTTCATAAATGTGTGGAAACTGGAAATTGACTCTATATCTTTGGTAATAAAGGGGTAATGTCAGTATTTTCAACATCCTGGTGTCCAGTCTAGAAAGACCTAGTAGGAGAAAAATATTAGGCTTTTCCAAAGGATCTGTTTCTGATTTCTTAACATAAATTTGGCCTTGTTGAGTCCTTTTTAATTTGAACCGGCAAAGTATCTCCCCCTGCCTCAGAAATAACTTATTGATTAAAATCGAAAACTAGGGCCAGGCACAGTGGCTCACGCCTGTAATCCCAGCACTTTAGGAGGCCAAGATAGGTGGATCACTTGAGGTCGGGAGTTCGAGACCAGCCTGGCCAAGATGGCAAAACCCCATCTCTACTAAAAATACAAAAATTGGCCGGGTGCAGTGGCTCACACCTCTAATCCCAGCACTTTGGGAGGCCGAGGCAGGCAGATCACCTGAGGTCAGGAGCTGGAGACCAGTCTGACCAACAAGGAGAAACCCCGTCTCTATTAAAAATACAAAAACTAGCCAGGCATGGTGGCATGCACCCGTAATCCCAGCTACTCTGAAGGCTGAGGCACAAGAATCACTTGAACCCAGGAGGAGGAGGTTGCAGTGAGCCAAGATCGTGTCACTGCACTCCAGCCTGGGCAAAAAAGCCAGACTCCGTCTCAAAAAAAAAAAAAAAAAAAGTTAGCCGGGCATGGTGGCATGCGCTTGTAGTCCCAGCTACTCAGGAGGCTGAGTCAGGAGAATCTCTTGAACCTGGTTGCAGTGAGCTGAGATCACACCACTGCACTGGGCGACAGAGCAAGGCTCCATCTCAAAAAAATAAAAATCTAAAAAGAATCTAAAAAGCCAGGAAACTACAGGTGCTGGAGAGGTTGTACAGAAATAGGAACACTTTTACACTGTTGGTGGGACTGTAAACTAGTTCAACCATTGTGGAAGACAGTGTGGCGATTCCTCAAGGATCTAGAACTAGAAATACCATTTGACCCAGCCATCCCATTACTGGGTATATACCCAAAGGATTATAAATCATACAGCTATAAAGACACATGTATGTTTATTGCGGCACTATTCACAATAGCAAAGACTTGGAACCAACCCAAATGTCCATCAATGATAGACTGGATTAAGAAATTGTGGCACATATACACCATGGAATACTATGCAGCCATAAAAAAGGATGGGTTCATGTCCTTTGTAGGGACGTGGATGAAGCTAGAAACCATCATTCTGAGCAAACTATCACAAGGACAGAAAACCAAACACTGCATATTCTCACTCACAGGTGGGAATTGAACAATGAGAACACTTGGACACAGGGTGGGGAACATCACACACCCAGGCCTGTCATGGGGTTGGGGGAGGGGGGAGGGATAGCATTAGGAGATATACCTAATGTAAATGACTAGTTAATGGATGCAGCACACCAACTTGGTATATGTATACGTGTGTAACAAACCTGCACGTTGTGCACATGTACCCTAGAACTTAAAGTATAATAAAATAAATTAAAAATAAAAAACAAGAAATTATTACTGAATGGAATATTCATTTTATGCTAGTTATTTCAAGTTTTTAAATACATAGAGGAACGTATTATAGAAAGACCTCTGTGGCTGGGTTTGATGGCTCACGCCTGTAATCTCAGCACTTTGGGAGGCCGAGGCGGGTGGATCATCTGAGGTCAGGAGTTTGAGACCGGCCTGGCCAAACTGGTGAAACCCCATCTCCACTAAAAATACAAAAAATTAGCCGGGTGTGGTGGTGGGCGCCTGTAATCCCAGCAGGAGAATCACTTGAACCCGGGAGGCGGCGGTTGCAGTGAACTGAGATCGCACTATTGCACTACACCGTGGGTGACAAAAGTGAAACTCTGTCTCAAAAAAAAAAGACCTGTGTCTCTTTTTCTTTTAAGTTTTTTCTCTTTTTTTGGTCCTTATGTAGAACAAATAAAGACTCTAAAACTAAGTTGTATATTATCAATTAGAGATGCAGGTGGCAATCAAGCCAAATAACATGACTTTAAAATCCAGTGTTCTCAGCCGGGCGTGGTGGCTCACACCTGTAATCCCAGCACTTTGGGAGGCCGAGGTGGGTGGATCATTTGAGGTCAGGAGTTCAACACCAGCCTGGTCAACATGCAAAACCCTGTCTCTACTAAAAATACAAAAAAATTAGCTGGGCATGGTGGTGTGCACCTGTAATCCCAACTACTCAGGATGCTGAGGCAGGAGAATCGCTTGAGCCTGGGAGGCGGAGATTGTGGTGAGCCAAGATTGTGCCACTGCACTCCAGTCTGGGCGACGGGGTGAGACCCTGTCTCAAAAAAAAAAAAAAGAAAAATCAGGTGTTCTACACCTTCACTCTGAGGTCATAGATTTTCTTATTTATTTATTTATTTATTTATTTATTTATTTATTTATTGAGACAGAGTTTCGCTCTTAATGCCCAGGCTGGAGTGCAATGGCGCAATCTCGGCTTACTGCAACCTCCACCTCCTGGGTTCAAGCAATTCTCCTGCCTCAGCCTCCCGAGTAGCTGGGATTATAGGCATGCACCACCACGGCCAGCTAATTTTGTATTTTTAGTAGAGACGGGGTTTCACCATGTTGGCCATGCTGGTCTCAGACTCCTGACCTCAGGTGATGTGGCCGCCTCAGCCTCCCAGAGTGCTGGGATTACAGGCATGAGCCACCATGCCCAGCCTGAGGTCATAGATTTTCAAGAGGACTTGGATTTGAAGAATATCGATACTTTTTTTATTTCAAAAAAAAAAATAGCTGGGCGCGGTGGCTCACGCCTGTAATTCCAGCACTTTGGGAGGCTGAGGCAGGCGGATCACCTGAGGTCAGGATTTCAAGACCAGCCTCAACATGGAGAAACCCCGTGTCTACTAAAAATACAAAATTAGCCGGGCGTAGTGGTGCATGCCTGTAATCTCAGCTACTCAGGAGGCTGAGGCAGGAGAATTGCTTGAACCTGGGAGGCGGAGGTTGCAGTGAGCCGAGATCACGCCATTGCACTCCAGCCTGGGCAACAAAAGCGAAACTCCATCTCAATAAAATAAAATAAAATAAAATAACTAGGCAGAGAGTCAGGGGTATTAGATCCCCTTTTGATAGGAATATATACATTATAATTTTAATCTCCACACGTTCCTATAAATAGATATGATTTTGACCACTTCACAAATAAAGAAGTTGAGACCCACAGTGAATGGTTCAAGCTTATACAGCTGATAAGCCCTTGATGTTAATAAATGTTGATATCACTGTGGGTCTTTAGCTCTGTGTGGCTCCAAACCTTACACTCCTTCCACCTGCCTCCAGCTCTCAGCATACTTGGCAGGAGGCTCTCCAAGTGTAGGATGTCTAGCAGAGGCACTGAGCCCCACTCTGTCCCCCTTCTTACAGAGGTGGGCTGTTGACCTAGAATATGCAGGTAATGACTTCAGCTGACAAGGATTCTACCTTAGCAAAGAATTTAGGTGTTTTTGTTTTTGTAGAGACAGGGTTTCACCAGGTTGGCTAGGCTGGTCTGGAACTCCTGGCCTCAAGTGATCCACCCGCCTCGCCCTCCCAAAGTGCTGGGATTACAGGCATGAGCCATTGTGCCCGGCCTATTTAGGTTTGTTAACAGCTTGTCTTCTCCCTGCTGGCTTCGTTCAAGGCCATTCATTCATTTAGTTCATTCATTTAGTCAAGTCACCTAACACTTACTGATAGGTGTTATAGTCCAGGGCTTGGGCTAGGTGCTCTCACATTTAATTACCTGATTTAATCCTGACAATAACTGTTGAACAACTTTGATTATCCCCATTTTACAGATGAGGATATTAAAACCAGAAAGGTGAAGTGATTTTCCAGGGTTCCACACTAAAGAGTGGCAGAGCCAGAGCCCACATTGAAACCCAATGTAGTTCTGTGTTGGATCCAGAGAATAGTTCCTGAGGGTCCCTGACAAGTGTCTCATGGCAAGTATGGACCTACTGTAAGATTACCCAGGGTATCCAAATCCCACCAGGGGCAAATGCATCATCTACCACGCAGATCAAATAAGCCTTAGAGTGGTTTTATACTCCAGGCTTGTGTTTCTCTCATATTCACCCAAGAAGGCCAGAACTAAAACCTACATAGCATTCAGGCAAATCCTTCTTGCCCCCAGAGCATTGAATGTCCCCTCCAGGTTACTGAAATCCTCTGCTTCACCCCATTACTTTCCCTAATTAGGGTCTTATCTCCCACTCAGTAGAGCTGCTTTCTGAGCCCCATGCTGGTCCCCCAGTTTCTTCAGCTTTTATATACAGGACAAGTTTTCAAGTCTTACTAAATTCATATATAGTCAATAAGTATTTATTGGACTTTTACCTAATATGTGCCAGGCATTGTGGTAAATACGTAGTAAACAAGACAGGTATTGTCTGTGTTCTTATGGAGCTTACAGTCTAGCAGAGAAGACAGGCATTGAGCAAACAGTTACAACTGTGACAAACTTCAGAAAAAAAGACAAATGCAAGACTGTGGGCACATAAAATGAGAGGAGATAAGATGGGGGAGCAGGGATCAAGAAAGGCACCCCAGAGGGCAAGTAGGATAGTATGGGACGTAGTGACGCGGAGGACATGAGCAGGTGTCCACGCATGGCTTTGTGGGTCATGTTAGGGCAGCGGGCCTTCACCCTGAGAGCACTGGGACTGGGAAGCCGCTGCCAGTTTGAGCTTTACGGGCGGATCATCCTGGTTCCAGCGTGAGGAGGTTTGGAGCCTGGGCAACATGGCACAACCCCACCTCTACAAAAAGAAGAAAATACAAAAATTACCCAGGTGTGGCCAGGCACGGCGGCTCACGCCTATAATCCCAGCACTTTAGGAGGTCGAGGTGGGTGGATCATGAGGTCAGGAGTTTGAGACCAGCCTGGCCAACATGGTGAAACCCCATCTCTACTAAAACTACAAAAATTAGCCGGGCGTGGTGGTGCACGCCTGTAATGCCAGCTACTCGAGAGGCTGAAGCAGGAGAATTGCCTGAACCCAGGAGGCGGAGGTGCCTCCACTGCACTCCAGCCTGGGTGACAGAATGAGACTCCATCTCAAAAAAATCAAAAATAAGTTGGGCTGGGCACAGTAGCTCAACACCTGTAATCCCAGCACTTTGGGAGGAGACCAAGGCGGGCAGATCACCTGAGGTCAGGAGTTTGAGACCAGCCTGGCCAACATAGTGAAACCCTGTCTGTACTAAAAATAGAAAAATTAGGCATGGTGGCACGCACCAGTAGTCCCAGCTACTTGGGAGGCTGAGGCAGGAGAATCGCTTGAACCTGGGAGGCAGAGGTTGCAGGGAGCAGAGATCACGCCATTGCACTCCAGCCTGGGCAACAAGAGCAAAACTCCATCTCTAAATAAATAAATAAGTTGTGGGCTGGGGTGGTGGCTTACGCCTGTAATCCCAGCACTTTGGGAGGCCGAGGCGGGTGGATCACGAAGTCAGGAGATCAAGACCATCCTGGCTAACACAGTGAAACCCCATCTCTACTAAAAATACAAAAAAAATTAGCTAGGTGTGGTGGCAGGCGCCTGTAGTCCCAGTTACTCAGGAGGCTGAGGGAGGAGAATGGCGTGAACCCGGGAGGCGGAGCTTGCCGTGAGCCAAGATCGCACCACTGCACTCCAGCCTGGACGACAGAGCAAGACTGTCTCAAAAAAAAACAAGTTGCGGTGTAATTGGTTTGAGGGTAAGAAAAGCTAAGGATCAGGCCGGGTGCGGTAGCTCACGCCTATAATCCCAGCGCTTTGGGAGGCCTAGACGGATGGATCATGAGGTCAAGAGAGAGAGACCATCATGGCCGACATGATAAAACACTGTCTCTACCAAAAATACAAAAATTAGCTGGGTGTGGTGGCACATGCCTGTAGTTCCAGCTACTTGGGAGGCTGAGGCAGGAGAATCCCTCGAACCCGGGAGGCACAGGTTGCAGTGAGCCAAGATCGCGCCACTGCACTCCAGCCTGGCCACAGAGCGAGACTCCGTCTCAAAAAAAGAAAAGAAAAGGATCAGAAGAAAGGAAAGGATCTAGCTAAGATCACTTGAAAGCAGAACCAGCAGTTCAGTTCCCTATCCTGGCTCCTCCCTCACTACCAGACCATGTGGGAAAAGCCACTTTGTCATTGGAGCAGCCCTGAGATAGGGTCTGTGATTCCCAGGGTAGAAAGACAGATTGATTATCATAACCAGCGTTCTCACTAATTACTGTTACCGCAAGCCCTAGGAGAGTGGCACCTTCCCAGAGATCTCTCAGTGAAGGACGTCCTTAATGAGGCCACTTAGCACAGTCAAGGTAGAAATACAGACCAAATGTCACCTCTCTGTTCTGTCATTCTTTTATCACTCAGCAGACAGCTAGTCTGGGCCAGGCTCTACGCTGGAACGAGGGACACAGGAATGAGGATCTTCCCAACCCCAGGAAGCACATAGGCACACAGTCTGTGCCTCCTTAGCACTGTGGCCTCTGGGTTCTCATCAGGGCCAGCAACCTCACCTCGCCTCACCTGTCCGTCCTTAGAAGGGCATTTGTACACTCTGAAAAGCAACGGTCTTCAGGTTCCTTCTTTCTGGATTACTAAGATCTTGATTTTGATGTGTTTCAGCTGGAAAGGGCTACCCCTGCAAAACATGTAAGATAGTGCTGAACTCCATAGAACAGTACCAAGCTCATGTCAGCGGCTTCAAACACAAGAACCAGTAAGTAACCATTTTTTGAAATTCTAGGATCCATAGCAGGAGCTCAGGACTTCTGCATCAGAACAAAGCCAGGTAGTTCTCGGCTGAAATGGAATCCTGGCAGTCTTTTTTCAGTGAACAGAAGATGAATCATGTAACAGGAACAAGTGTCTCCTCTATATGTATTTCTCCACCAGCTTCTGCCCAGCCTTTAGACCTGTTGGACTCAAGGGTTTAATAGAGAAGCATACATGATTTCCTTGGTGGGACCCTAAGAACACCTGGCTGTCCTAGTCTGTAGCACTCTGACTGGGGAAGTGCTTTTCCACTGGCCTGGAGACCCTCTCCTTTTCTGGCAGGAGTTCCCTCTATAGGTCATTATCAAATATGACCAGGCCCTCTCATTCCTTAATCAAATATATATTGAGCATCTTCTGAATGATGGCCAAGACAGACCCAGTCTCTGCTCTCCTGACCTTACAGCCTGGTGGGAGGAAACAGACTAAGCAAGTAAACAACCAATAATCACAGATTGTGATAAGGGTTTTGAAGGAACCAGGTGAACAGAGAGTTACCTGTTCATGGTAATCTTGGAAGTGACTAACATTCATTGAGCCCCTCTTCTGTTGCAGGCCATATGTCAAGCAGATTTTCTCAGGTAATCCTTCCAACCCTGAGAGGAAGAGATAATTATTCCCATTTTATACATATAGACAACCAGCATTCAAAGTGGTGATGTGAATGAAGCAAGGTCATGATTCAAACTGAAGCCTGTCTGGCTCACAGCATGCTCTTCCCAAGGCGTCAGGCTCAGAAGTAGGCTATGGCACCACTGATATGAAGAGAATAGGGCCTGGCCTGGAGGGCCCACATGGTTCTGTCCCTTCCTCTCCGAAGGGAAACGTGTGGTATGAGCAGTGTGCCACAACATAACGTTTTTTTTTTTTTTAGTAGAGATGGGGTTTCACCATATTGGCCAGGCTGGTCTCAAACTCCTGAGCTCAAGTGATCCATCTGCCTCGGCCTCCCAAAGTGCTGGGATTACAGGCATGAGCCACTGCACCTGGCCCCAGCATAACCTTCTGAGATAGGTAGAAGAATTCCCATTTTACAGACAAGGAAACTGAGTTTCAGGCAGGCAAGCTGCCGAAATGATTGCTTTGACTTTGGTCATTGATTTTGCTTTGCTCATTGAGCTGAATGATTTAAAGGTGGTAGAAACACAGAGTATTGGTGTAAAAAATGTCCTTAGTTCTCTCTGCTCTGCCTGGAGTCTCCTCTCTCACACTGTAGCAGATCATCCTCTTTACCTGTGAATATGTTTTTTACTTTGGGGGACTCTTAGGTGTAGACTTGAGTTGCCCCAGCAACTCAGCCCCACAGTGTTTCAGCATACATACCTCCCTTGCAGCCTGGCTGATGGCAGTTACAGTAGACAACCTGAAGCCAACCAGAGCCCCTCCCTGGGGCTACCCACACCTGAAATTGCCAGTGTTGTTCGCTGCTCTCTTGCTAAACTTTCCAGCAGTGTGACCTTGGGCAAGTCAATAAGTCTGTAATTCTCCCAACATGGGCAATGTAGTGAGACCCCATCTACAAAAAATAAAGTTAGCCAGGTGTGGCGGCACACACCTGTAGTCCCAACTACTTGAGAGGCTGAAGTGGGAGAATAGCTTGAGCCCAGGAGTTGGAGTGAGCCATGAGTTGCAGTGAGCTATGATGGCACCACTATTCTCCAGTCTGGGTGCCTGAGTGAGATCCTGTCTCAAAATTTTAAAAAAGCCTCTAATTCTGTAAGAATAAAGCTATAATTTGTTGAATACCTGATTGAGTCTCATTAAATTTCTCAACAAAAGGTCTGAAATTAGGATACCCCCTCCCAAACCCATCTTTTACAACCAAAGAAAGCCTAATTATCAGATAGGTTAATTGACTTCCCCAAGGTCACTTAGTTACTTGCAGTTAGACCTGGGATTCAAGCCTGTTTGACTTCGAAGCCCATTCATTTTACTCTGCCACTACCAAATGGAATGAGTTTTTATAGGGCCCTGTAGGCAGTGGTTTGGTATAGTGAAAAGGCATTGGCTACAGTCCTGAACCTACCACCTAAAAACATACTTCGGGCCAGCCACTTAAGCTTTCTGAACTTTAGTTTCCTTGTATGTAAAATGAGGGTGCTGTTTCTCACCTTGCAGAATTGCCATGAGGATGGAATGATGGAAGCTAAGCATCCAGCATTCTGCCAGCCCACAGTGGACCTCAGTGAAGGAAAGGTGTCCTGTCTATTACTCCAAGGCCCTGGAAGGGCAGTGCTATCATTGCAGTAGGCCAATACAGCTGCCACACACTGACCCTCTTCCTTTGTTCCTTCTCAAATACAGGTCACCAAAAACAGTGGCATCATCCCTGGGCCAGATTCCAATGCAAAGGCAACCCATTCAGAAAGACTCAACCACCTTGGAAGACTAGAGGTGATTCTGCCCAGCATCCCATATTGGGCCAGCCATGAGCCAGCTTCCCGTGACTGCTCAGCCCTTGGCTCCCTCTTGCTCGTTGTTCTCACCAGGAAAGTACACGGGCCTGAGGCAGGATTGGGCCACAGACAGCCTCTCATTGGTCCGGGCTAATTCACTCCTGCTGCTCCCCTTTGGCAGGGGTCCTGTAGGTCATGACAGGGGAGGCAAGGGTATTGAGAGACTCGGGGTCTCGCGGGGTGGTAGTTTGGAGGGTGGCTTTCCCCATTTCCCAACCCCTCTGGGCCTTAGGTGCTGAGGCCCCTGCCACCTGTCTTTCCTCTAAAGGTCAGTTTTGGGCCAGTTCTTGCAACTAAAGAGCAGAGATCTCTCTGGGCCCTAGACATTTCCAGCAAAACCTGGAACTTTCATGCCAAACCTGGGGCAGGGCAGGAAACAGAGGAAATGGCTGCAACATGGGAGCTTGGAGCTAATACGACACTCTGCCTTCCCCCAGAAGGTGCAGGCTTTCCTGAGTCTTAGACCAGATATGGCCAGTTGCGCAGGTTTCTGCCAACTGTGAAGTATCCTCCTGGAGCAGTGACACAATCTTGGCGGAGCATTGCTACCCCCGCTGCCCCCTCCACAGTTCCTGAATGGTGCTAAGGATCTGCAGCAGTTGGCAACGAGCTGGGGCTGGGGGCGGCCTCCATGTCCACTGAGATCATAGGACACTCCAATGGGGATGGGACCTTTCCCCTCCTCCATCAGAGGTGCTCTGACCCTAGGTTACACGGGAAAGTGCCCCACATGCAAGTCTCCCTGAGGGTTCTGCCCCTAAAGGCAGACTGCCTCATGCCCGCTAGCTGTGAGGTTCATTGCTACCCTCGGCCCTACTAGCCCTCTCTTCCCCCTTGTGCAGCGGACCACTTGCCCAGTTTGCTGTGGTGCTAGCCTTCCCCATCATCCACCGGGTGATTTCTGGGTCCCAGGGAAAGAAAGAGAGAGCTGATGCAGGTTTCTACAGTGAGGAACAGGCGTTTCCCAGGCCCCACACCCAGATTTCTCTATCTTTGCTGTGTTTTATGGCCTGGGACTGAGTCCACACGGATAGATTTTTCCTTGTAACCTTGAGACGAGAATTCCAAGGAGTGTCACCATCAGAGGCTTCTCTTCATTGTGTCAAAGAAGCCCCTAGCTGCTCTCGTGGCCTCCTTCCCCCACTCCCTATCCCTTCACCTGTGAAATGCCTTTGCTTTGCATATTGTGTGTGGATGTGTGTGTGTGTGTGTGTGTGTTTGTGTGTATGTGTGTGCTTCTGTGTGTGCCTAATGCTCTGTCTCTTGGTCACTGAAGCATCCAAATAAAGAATTTCCCTCATGGGCCAGACTACAACTTAACAGACCTAGGGTTTTGAGCCATATTGCCATTGGATCTAGTATGTCTGTCTTGACCCCTCACCCCCACCCCATTCAGACCTCAGTAGTCCCCAGTAGTCACTTTAGGAGTTGGGACAGAGTCGAGCACCCTGTGAAAGTCTCCCTTGAGTTCAGGTGCCCTGAACTCAGTACAGCCTCATCTTCTCATCCACCACCTTCTCCTGCTTCTCCTGTCACATAGGGCCTCATGAAGGTCTTTAAAGGGTTTAAGCTGGGGATCTGCTTTATGTTTGAGAGAACTGTTCTGGCTGTTATGTAAAGGAGTGCAGGGAGGGGCAGGAAAGGAGACAAGGAGGCCAGTATGGACACTGTGTCCAGTATGGCTTTCCAGGCTAATCACTTAGGGCAGAGACCCAGCCTTATTCATCTCTACTTCCTGATGTCCATAGTGGTGTGTCATGAATTTTTATTGAATGAACAAATGAGGTGTATGAGGAGAGATGGTTTTCTCCTGCTCAGCTCTTACACAGTGATAGGTTTGTTCCATGGGACTTATCATAGGCCTGGTGATTCTTGAAAGAGCATTTTTCATGACTCAAAAATGAGCTGAGAAGGAGTGTTATGGCCAGGTGCGGCGTCATGCACCTATAGTCCCAGCTGCTCAGGAGGCTAAGGCAGAAAGACCATTCAAGCCCAGGAGTTCCAGCCTGAAGTATGCTGTGATCATGCCTGTGAATAACCACTGCACTCCAGCCAGGGCAACATAACAAGACTCTATCTAAAAAAAAAAAAAAATTATAAAAATAAATTTGAAGGCTGGGCGCCGTGGCTCACGCCTGTAATCCAAGCACTTTGAGAGGCCAAGGCAGGTGGATAACCTGAGGTCAGAAGTTCGAGACCAGCCTGGCCAACATGATGGCAAAACCCCGTCCCTATAAAAAATACGAAAATCAGCTGCGCCTGGTGGCACACATCTGTAGTCCCAGCTACTTGGGAGGCTGAGGCAAGAGAATTGCTTGAACCCGGGAGGCGGAGGGTCGCATTGAGCCAAGATCGTGCCACTGCACTCCAGCCTAGGTGACAGAGTGAGACTCCTGTCTCAAAATAAATAAATAATAAATTTTAAAAGAAGGTAGCCAGGTGTGGTGGTGCATTCCTGTAGTCCTGGCTACCTGGAAGGGTGAGGCAGGAGGATCGCTTTAACCATGAGTTCAAGGCAGCAGTGAGCTATGATTATGCCACTGTACTCCAGCCTGGACAACAGAGCAAGACCCTGTCTCTAAAAATAATAATTTTTAAAATTTAAAAAAAGAAAGGAATGTTATGGCCTCAAGAGCTCTTTGTCCATCCTTTACTGTAGACAGCCAGATTTGAGGAAGGGGCCCAGGCAGCCTCAGCTCCCATTCAGTGCCACTCAGCCCCTGCTCCTGGTCAGCTGTGAAAGGCTCTACACAGCCCCAAGGGAGGTTCTCAGCTTCCCATGATCAGACTGCCTCAGCAATTCCCCAGAGTCCTTCTAAGCCACCTAGTATGTCAGATTCAGCCCCATCTACCAAGCAAGGAAATGAAGGGCAGGGGGTGAGTGGGCTATCATACCGTGAGCCTCCGGCCTGCAAGACCACTTTGTAGTCCCTACCAGCTGTGTGGCCAGCCCTGTTGGTAAAGGGACCTAGAGATGAACACTTTCTTGCCCTTAGGGGTTCACACACAGTCAAAGATCATGATGACAATGATAAGAATGCCCAGGATGCAGGAGCTGACTCAGCCAAGGGCATGAAAAAGCTGGAGAGGTTGGAAAGCTAGCATTTCATCTGCATAACAACCTTTGAGCTAAGAGTTAATATTCCATATAGAGAAGGAGGCCAGGCAGGGTGGCTCACATCTGTAATCCCAGCACTTTGGGAGGCCAAGGCGGGTGTATCACTTGCGGCCGGGAGTTTAAGACCATCCTGGCCAACGTGGTGAAATCCCATCTCTACAAAAAATAAAAAATAAAATAAATAAAAACCATGGAGAGAAGGAACAAGGCTGAAAAAGGTATCATGATTTGCCCAAGGTCTTGCCTCTAAGAAATGACAAAATGGAGAGTAGAATCCAGTTCTCTAGACTTCCTCTGGAACCCTTTATGAGTGAGGACCAGAGTACCTCCCACATGGCCCCTGCAGCCTGCCTCACCCATCTCCTGTCAGTGCCATGGTCTCACAGGGTGAGCAGCCACTCAGGGCAGGGGCAGCACCCACAAAACAGATGAGACAAGGCTCAATGTTTATATTCCAAGTCCCTCCATTTTTCTCATAATTTTGTCCATTCCCATGATCCCAGTGTAGTAGACTCTAATTATTAAAGTGTTAGAAACCCAAATCAAAGCGATTAGCTAAAAAGGTAAATGTATTGATTCACTTAATGAAAAATCCACATACAATGATAGCTGGACCCAGACTCGGAGATGGTCTCATCAGGAAGAATTGTCTATCCCTCTGCTTTCCTCTGTGTGCCCTTTCTCAGGCAAGCTCTCTCCAAGAGGTGCCAAGGTGGCCACTGGCAGCCCCAGGCTTCTATCCTGATACGTTAGTAACAACAGTGGAAAGAACACCTTTCTCCACTAGTTCCAACAAAATATCTGGGATTGCCTCAACTGGTTTAGTCCTGTTCTCATCCCTGAATTAATCATTGTGGCTAGGGGAAAAGGCACTCTGATTTGGGGCCTGGGTCATGTGCCTAAAGCTGAGTCAGCTCCACCTAAAACATTGAGAGAGGGAGTGATACAACCCCAAAAGAAGAAGGTTGTAGGGCTCTTTCCAGATTAAGGGGGAATGGATGCAGGGGGAGGGGGACAAAAACAACTGTGCACTATACCCAGAAATTGTTTAACTGTTTCCTTTTTTTCTCTAACTTTTTGAGGTACACCATACATTCAGTAATGTGCACCAATTTTAGACTTCAGTTTGATGAATCCTCACTTACATGTATACATTGGGGCAGTCACCCTCCAGATCAAGATACAGAACATTGCCAGGTCCCTAAAACATTCCCTCATTTCCCCTCCTAGTCAGTATCCCCCAGAAGCAACCACTATTTTGACCTCGATCATTATAGATTAGTTTTGCTTGCTCTTGAGTTTTATAAAAATGGAATCATACATTTTGCACAATATTAGTTTGTGGAATTCACCCATGTTACTGTATGTCTCAGAAGTTCAGTTTTTTTTTTTCAGCCAGGCGCAGTGGCTCATGCCTGTAATCCCAGCTCTTTGGGAGGCCGAGGCGGGCGCATCACTTGAGGTCAGGAGTTCCAGACCAGCCTAGCCAACATGGTGAAACCCTGTCTCTACTAAAAATACAAAAATTAGCTGGTCGTGGTGGTGGATGCCTGTAATCTCAGCTGCTCGCTGAGGCAGGAGAATCGCTTGAACCTGGGAGGCGGAGGTTGCAAGTGAGCTGAGATCGCGCCACTGCACTCCAGCCTAGGTGACGTAGTAAGACTCTGTCTCAAAAAAAAAAAAACAAGTTGAGTTTTTTCGTGCTGTGTAGTGGTCCTTTATTTGAATATAGCACAATTTAGCCATCCTACTTTTTTGTTTTTGTTTTTGAGATGTTCTCACTCTGGCCCCCAGGCTGGAATGCAGTGGTGCCATCAAGACTCACTGCAGCCTCGACCTCCTGGGCTCAAGTGATCCTCCCACCTCAGCCTCCCAAGTAGCTGAGACTACAGGCACATGCCACCACACCAGCTAATTTTTTCTATTTTTTGTAGAGATGGAGTCTCTGTTGCCCAGGCTGGTCTCGAACTCCTGGGCTCAAGTGATCCTCCCGCCTCAGCCTCCCAAGTAGCTGGGACTACAGGCACATGCCACCATGCCAGCTAGTTTTTCGTATTTTTTGTAGGGATGGCGTCTCACCCTGTTGCCCAGGCTGGTCTCAAACTCCTGGGCTCAAGCGATCCACCCACCTTAGCCTCCCAAAGTGCTGGGATTACAAGCGTGAGCCACCAAGCCTGGCCCAGCCATCCTGTTGAGGGACAACTGGGTTGTTTCTAGTTTGGGGGTATCATAAATAAAACTGCTGTGAAGGATTTTTTACATGCTGCTTGGTACACATGTTCACTCATCTACTCAGGCGTGGAATCATAGAGTAGGCATATGTTTAGCTTGTCTAGACACTGCCAAACAGTTTTCCAAAGTGGCTCTATTGACTTACATCCTCACCAGCAGTGTGTGGGAGCTCCAGCAGCTCCACGTCTTGGTTAGCACTTGGTGTTGTCAGTTTTTTTAATATTGGCCATTCTGGTGGTACCCAGGAATTTGAATCCATAGTTCCTGACTTGAAATCAGGGCCCTTCTTACTTTTAGCATGCTCAAGACAGGTTTGAATTTTGTAGCCTCGAATGGCCTCAGAAATCAATACCCAGGACCCACAATACAGCAGGCAAGCATATGAGGGAGCCCCTGCTCATGGCTCCAGTGCCTAGGGAGGGTCTCAGAGAGGCATCAGCTCTGGAGAGGCAGTCTAGCGTAGTGGCGAAAACTCAGGTTCTGGGAAGCAAGCAGCTAAGGTTCAGATCCCAGCTCTGCCATCGCAAAGCTGCCTCGGGGTGGAACATTAGTACCTACCTCACAGGGTGATCATGAGAATTAAAAGAATAGGTGGATATGAAATAATAGTGCCTTACACATGATAAATGCTATATAAATGATAGCTGCTGCTCTTTCTATTGTTGACCTGAAGTAAGCCCTGAGTCCCCCTGGAGCGGGGGTAAGGCCACAAGCAGATGGCATCTGGCATAGCCCCATGTAATAAGATTCAGTAATCCGGTCTGACTGAGGCGGGGGGAAAAGTAGCATAGTGGCTAGAAGTGATTCTTTACTGGGGCCCAGCGAAAAGTCACCCTCCACTACTGGGGAGCCCCTGCTTATCCCAGGCCCAAGGCTCTTTGGCCAGTGACACTACTGAGGTGTCACACCTGAGGGGAAGAAATGGAATCATGCATGAAATGGAACCAAGAGGAAGTGGAAGCATACTCTTAGCCCAGAGCTAGATGCAAAGCAGCTGTTTGAATATAACAACCCACCAGTGCAGACACAGATCTAGACATGTACCTGTATAGCAGCCAATGAGGGGTGGCATGAGGGACAAGGGCCTGGGATTCAGGAGCCCTAAGTGTTGGTCTGAGCACTGCCACCAGCTATATGTGACCTGAGGCCTTGTGAAGTGGAAGTTAGAAGAAATCACAGTTCCCAGCTCAAATCCTGAAGAAGTAGCAATGAACAGGTAGAGTTTCCTCCCAGAGCCCTAAGCCAGGTGTGGTGCACGTGCCTGCAATCCCATCTGCTCGGGAGGCTGAGGCAGGAGGATCGCTTGAGCCCAGGAGTTCAAATCCAGCCTGGGCAACATAATGGGAGCCTCTTAAAAAAAAAAAAAAGAAAGAAAGAAAAAAGGGGCCAGGCGCCAGGCGCGGTGGCTCACGCCTGTAATCCCAGCACTTTGGGAGGCTGAGGTGGGCGGATCACAAGGTTAGGAGATCGAGACCATCCTGGCTAACACGGTGAAACCCCATCTCTACTAAAAATACAAAAAATTAGCTGGTCGTAGTGGCGGGTGCCTGTAGTCCCAGCTACCGGGAGGCTGAGGCAGGAGAATGGCATGAACCCGGGAGGCGGAGCTTGCAGTGAGCTGAGATCGTGCCACTGCACTCCAGCCTGGGCGACAGAGCGAGACTCTGTCTCAAAAAAAAAAAAAGAAGAAGAAGAAGAAAGCCCTTCCTTCCCTCACAGCAGTCCCTGCCAGATGAGCTGTCCCCACCCCCAAACCAGATGCTCTGATGAGCAGTCACTAGTGTAAAATACAATAGGAAGAACACTTTCTCCCTCTGACCATCCATCCACCTAACCTCACCTCTCTGCCCTGTGCAAAGCCCTGTTACAGAGACAGGGCAGACCCGTCCCCGGCCTGTCTCTCCCAAGCTTACTGTTCATATATGCTGCTTCATCTGTCTAGGAATATCAGAACGCAGTTCTGTAAATGTTCAACTCTTCAGTGCAATGACCCCATTAGCCACTAGGTGGAGTCAGCTTCTTTTTTCTAGCAAGGTAGACCAGCCCTGGGACTTTACTGTTTGATTTAATGGGAAGAGAACAGGGTGACTTCACGAGCCCCTGTATATGCTATTTCAGTTAACCCTCAGGACAACTGGCAAAGACTTGATTTCACAGGAGAAAGTCAGGGACAAAGTCTTGCAGAGCTTACACAACCAAGAAGTAGCCTTGGAGAGAGATTTGATCTTAGCACTTCTGCTCATTCCCAAGGCCGATTTCCCCTTCCCTCAGGACATTTCCCTCAGGAGGCCCTCTCTGTTTGAGGGCTGTAACTTAGTCACCTGTCTAGAAGTACACCTGATGTCAGGCCAGCTCCACAGCCCTTCTTTTCCTTTTCTCCTTTGGGTGACAAACCTGCTCCATTCTCAGATCCTGTGGTTCCGAGGGACTGGCCCTGCTCTCTGATTCCAGGAGTGAGCCTGTGACCCGACTGAGTAATCACAGTCATAGTCTTCAGCTGTTAGTGTCCAGCATGTAAGGACAGCCTGCTTCAGAACTAAGCCAACACAGAGGAGGCCGGGCTCGGTGGCTCACACCTGTAACCCCAGTACTTTGGGAGGCCAAAGCAGGCAGATTACTTGAAGTCAGGAGTTCAAGGCCAGCTGGCCAACATGATGAAACCCTGTCTCTACTAAAAATACAAAAATTAGTCAGGCGTGGTGGCGCACGTCTGTAGTCCCAGCTACTCAGGAGGCTGAGGCAGGAGTATTGCTTGAACCCGTGAGGCGGAGGTTGCAGTGAGCCGAGATCACACCACTGTACTCCAGATAAGGAGAGACTCATTTCTGATGACTACCTGGATCCAGCTATGCCTGAAGCTAATATCCCCCAGGACTTTTTAGTTATGACTTTTCTTTAAGTCAGTTGAGTTTCTATAACTTGCAACCAAGATTTCTGCCTAATACTTGCTCCAGCTCCCCTTGTCAACCTGGGGACCTCCACTCATCCAGAGATCACTGGCCCCCAAGGCCAAGTTGGCTGCCCTTTGTGTTCCCAGATGCCCTGTGTTCCCCTCTAGCATAGCCCTTAATATGCTGTGTTACGATGATCTAATTCCCTGTCTCTTCTTTTAGACTAGAAACTGCTTGAGGGCAGGAATTGGGTCTTATGATACTGCATCCCTGGTCCCTAGCATAGGACTGTGCTTATGTTTTAATAACTGCTTGGTGATTGAATACATTAATGAATAAATGAATAAAAATGGGTATGGTCTGGTAGGGACCATTGCTGGGATTTCACAGGAAAGACATTTATTTTGTTTGTTTTTTGAAACAGCGTCTCACTCTGTCACACAGGCTGGAATGCAGTGGTGCAAACACAGCTCATTGCAGCCTCGACCTCACTGACTCAAGTGATCCTCCCACCTCAGCCTCCCGAGTAGCTGGGACTACAGGCGCACACCACCACACCCAGCTAATTATCTTATTTTTTGTAGACACAAGGTCCCACTGTGTTGCCCAGGCTGGTCTTGAACTCCTGAGCTCAAACGATCCTCCCACCTCGGCCTACCAGAGTGCTGGGATTGCAGACGTGAGCCACCGCACCTGGCCGGAAAGACTTATTGAGGGAGATGATCCTCTAGTGGTCATGAAGGTCAAAGGAGCCAGGTTGCTGGGGTGGGAGGAGGCTTAGTGAAAGGAACTAGAAGAGGCGAGTTGTGGAACACAGTTGATTGTTTCAATAATGGCCTCCCATGAATCATTGCCTCCCTGTGCCTGTGTCCTTTTGCAATGTGACTTTATCATTGCTCCCATCAAGATCGGGCGGGCGGGGGAGGGGGGGGGTCCATTTCCCAGTCTCTTGAATCTGAACTAGTCTTGTGAGTTGCTTTGATCAGAGAATTCAGTAACATGACTGTACGACTTCCAAGGTTAGGACTTAAGTGCTCATGCAGCTTCCGTTCCTGACCCTGTGAAAGGAAGTTTGGGCTAGACCATGTGGCGACCACAGACCAGGTAGAGAGAGAAGCCAACAGCCAGCTCCATACATGTGAGGGAGGACATCCCAGACCCTCTAGCATAGCCAATCCACAGCATAAGCAGAACTGCCACCTGAGCCCAGCTAATCACAGAATTGTGAGAAATAATACATTGTTTTAAATAATTAAGTTTGGGAACAGTTTGTGCAGTAAAGGCTCACAGAATCACTAGGTATAATAATCAGAAGCTTCCTAGTGTCTGTTTACCCTTCTTCCTATAATAAGCTTTTCTTTGAAAAACCCCACCCTCAGCTTATGTAGTCCGGGTGGGGAAGACCTCCACTCTCCTGGCTTTTGCCAGAACAGTTGAGAAGTTGCCAAGTGGGAATGTCTCGAGCCCAGAGCTGTTAGTGGCCTTCTTTGTCACTTCTTAGGGAGCACCTGTCATAGAGAAGAAGACAGAAGAGAGAATGAGTTTTGACCATACTGTTGGGAACCAGGATCAAGCTGTTTCTGGAGCCTGATTCACACCAGGACTTACAGTCATGCTCCTGTAGTCCCAGCTACTCAGGAGACTAAGGCAGGAGAATTTCTTAGGCCCAGGAGTTCACATCCAGCCTGGGCAGCACAACAGACCTCATCTCTTTAAAAAGTGCATGAGCCAGTACATTCACTATTTTGTGTAAGCAGGTTTGAATTTGAGTTTCTGTGTCTTGCAACTGAATGAAAACGTTCGCTGAGAGCCAGAAAAATTGATAGAGGCTGAGCAGCTCCAGGGCAGAGGGCAGTTAGGTCAGACAGAGGAGGGATTCCTGGCCGGGCAAGTTGGCTCACACCTGTAATCCCAGCACTTTGGGAGGCCGAGGCGGGCGGATCACGAGGTCAGGAGAACGAGACCATCCTGGCTAACACGGTGAAACCCGTCTCTACTAAAAATACAAAAATTTAGCCGGGCATGGTGGTGGGCATCTGTAGTCCCAGCTACTCGGGAGGCTGAGGCAGGTGAATGGCATGAACCCAGGAGGCGAAGCTTGCAGTGAGCCGAGATCGCGCCAGTGCACTCCAACCTGGGCGACAGAGCAAGACTCCCTCCGTCTCAAAAAAAAAAGAATTTTTTTTAAATAAAAATAAAATATATCTACATTTTGGCCGGGCATGGTGGCTCACGCCTGTAATCCCAGCATTTTGGGAGGCCAAAGCAGGTGGATCATGAGATCAGGAGTTCAAGACCAGCCTGGACAACATGGTGAAACCCCGTCTCTATTAAAAATACAAAAAAAAACTAGCCGGGCATGGTGGTGGGTGCCTGTAATCCCAGCTACTCATGAGGCTGAGGCGGGAAAATGGCTTGATCCCAGGAGGCAGAGGTTGCAGTGAGCCGAGATGAGTAACACTGTACCCCGGCCTGGGCGACAGAGCCAGACACCGTCTCAAAAAACAAACAAACAAAAAAATCTACACTTTTTAATACTCCTCCCTTCAATAGGTCAAGTTTAATTTCTACCCTATATCCCCTAATATGGGCTGTAAGTAGCAATTCACTTTACTTACTGATTGATTGATTGACTCAAGGTCTTGCTGTGTCCCCCAGGCTGGAGTGCATGGCACAATCATAGGTCACTGCAGCCTCGATCTCCTGGGCTCAAACAGTCCTCCCACCTCAGCCTCCTGAGTAGCTGGAACTACAGGCATGCGCCACTGTGCCTGGCTAATTTTTTTTTCCTTTTTTTTTGAGACAGAGTTTCTCTCTTGTCGCCCAGGCTAGAGTGCAGTGGTGCAATCTCGGCTCACTGCAAACTCTGCCTCCTGGGTTCAAACGATTCTCCTGTCTCAGCCTCCCAATTAGCTGGAATTACAGGCACCCGCCACCACGCCCAGCTAATTTTTGTACTTTTAATAGATACAGGGTTTCACCAGGTTGACCAGGCTGATCTCGAACTCCCAACCTCAGGCGATTGACCTGCCTCAGCCTCCCAAAGTGCTGGGATTACAGGCGTGAGCCACCACGCCCGTCTGGCTAATATTTTTTATTAGGGTCTCACTCCGTTGCCCAGGCTGGTCTCAAACTCCTAGGCTCAAGGAATCCTCCTCGCTCAGCCTCCTGAAGTGCTGGGATTATAGGCGTGAGCCACTGTGCCTGGCTGTGACTCACTTTTAACTAATAGAATAAGACAGAAGTGACAAGAATCTGATGTCTGAGAGTAAGTTATACATTACATTGCAGCTTCAATATTTCTCTCTTGGATCACCAGCTCTGAGGGAAACCAGCTAACGTGTTGTGGGAACACTCAAGCAGCCCTATCAAGAGGCTGTTGTTGAGAGAAATGTAGGTCTTCTACCAATGACAAAGATTCTTTGGTTGGCCAAATTTTAGTCAGGCTTCTGAGCCTTCTCCTAGGTCCATCTGTGCACTTCCTTGTAAAATCTAGTTTTAGCAAAGAACCTGCTAAGTCTAGTTTAGCAAGAACTGCCGCCCATCTTCGATATCTGATCAGGTTCCTCCTCCTCCACCATCCCCCAGGTGATGGCTGATGGGCCTGTCTTCAGCAAGAATCCTGTTGGGTCAGTTTGGACAGAACCCCTTTACCCCAACGTTTCCTCTTAGTCATTTTCCATTCACTGCTCCCCACTCTGTTCCTTGGCTCAGAATTCCCACTCGCCCATGCTGTATTCAGAATGGAGCCCAATCTCTCTCCCCCTCTGCAAGATCCCATTGCAGTGGTCCCTGTGACTATCTCAATGGTCCTGAATAAAGTTTTCTTTACTGTGCTTTAATAAGTATCGTTGAGCCGGGCGTGGTGGCTCACGCCTGTAATCCCAGCAGTTTGGGAGGCTGAGGTGGGTGGATCATTTGAGGTCAGGAGTTTGAGACCATCCTGGCCAATATGGTGAAACCCCGTCTCTACTAAAAATACAAAAATTAGCTGGGCATGGTGACAGGTGCCTGTAATCCCAGCTACTTGGGAGGCTGAGGCTGGAGAATCGCTTGAACCCAGGAGGCGGAGGTTGCAGTGAGCCGAGATCACGCCACTGTACTCCAGCTTGGGCGACAGAGCGAGACTCTCAAGAAAAATAAATAAATAAACATAAAAACAAGTATCTTTGAATAATTTTTTCTTTAACACCAATAGTCAGCCAAATATTTGTTATGTAAAGTCGTTAAGTTTAAAAGTAATGTGTTATGAAGCAATGGATAACTAATACAGGTCTTTTTCCTAAAAGCCATGGAAATTTATTAAAAGGTTTTAAACAAATAGCAGTGAAAACAGGATGAATTTGCTGCCATGTAAACAAATGAGTACTATGGCCAAAGAGCCAACAGAGGAGAGTGGAGACACAAAGGAAGGGTGTTCTACTGAGAAGGAGCCTTTTATTTATAAAGGGTTTAAGAAAAAGGATTAGCCGAAGAAAAAATTATTTGGTTCACATAGTGAAATGTTCAAAGAAGGAATGGCTTCAGGCAAGGCTTGATCCGGGTGCACTCCAGCTCTTGGCCCTCTTGTTTCCTTTATTGCTGTCTTTCACAGAGAAGCTCTCCCAAGCAACTCTAGGCATCCCTATTCACAGCTCAGCTTCTCAGAGAGTTGGTTTCCTATTCATTCCAATAAAAGACCTAGACTGGCTCCCATTGGCCCTCCCATGGTCACATGCTCATCTCTGACTTAATCACAATGGCCTGGGAGATGGAATATTCTCCTTAGCCAGGTCTGGGTCACATGTCCACCATAAATGCCAAGGAGGAGTGTTGGTTTCATCCAGTCCCCCGTGGACTGCTAGTAGGGGAGGACCACGACATCAAGAAAAGTTTGAGGGGTCGTTACCAGAGAGAGGAAAAGGGTTTTAATGTCCAGTTTAGGGTGGCCAGGAGGGATCTGAAAGAAAAAGGAATGCCTGGCCAGGCGCGGTGGCTCACGCCTGTAATCCCAGCACTTTGGGAGGCCGAGGCAGGTGGATCACCTGAGGTCAGGAGCTCGAGCCCAGCCTGGTCAACATGGTGAAACCCCATCTCTACTAAAAATATAAAAATTAGCTGGGCATGGTGGTGAGTGCCTGTAATCCCAGCTACTCGGGTGGCTGAGGCAGGAAAATTGCTTGAACCCGGGAGGTGGAGGTTGCAGTGAGCTGAGATTGCACCACTGCACTCCAGCCTGGGCAACAGAGCAAGACTCCATCTCAAAAAAAGAAAAGAAAAGAAAAGGGAATGCCTGAGAGGAGTCCAGAAATACCTGCTGAATGGCAGGTATCTGGTAGAATGCCTGGAAAGCGGGGAGGACAGATAGGCAGGCCAGAGGAAGAATGCTCAGCAACAAAGGCAGCATAAGCAAAGACGCCACGGTGTCAGCCAGTCAGGCACATTCAGAGGCTCTACCTGGAGCTCACTGCAGCTGCGAAACAGCAGGTGTCTTGGGGGAGACTGGAGCTGGGACAGCAGAGAGCAGCAGAGGCCAGTCCTGGAGGGCCCTGAATGTCAGGCTGAGGAGCTGGGGGTGCCAGTGGGTGGTGGGGGGAGAGTAGTTAAGGGTGAGGAGTGGCAGCACAGTGGCACATGCCTGGAGTCCCAGCTAATGGGGAGGCTGAGGCAGGAGGATCCTGCGAGCCTAACAGTTGAAATCCCATCTGGCAATGTAACAAGACCCCGTCTCTAATAAAAATAAGCTGGCCGGGCGTAATAGCTAGTGTCTGTAATCCCAGCACTTTGGGAGGCCAAGGCAGGCGGATCACTTGAGGCCAGGAGTTCGAGACCAGCCTGGCCAACATGGTGATACCCGTCTCTACTAAAAACACAAAAATTAGCCAGGCATGGTGGCACACGCCTGTAATCCCAGGTACTTGGAAGGCTGAGGCAGGAGAATCATCTGAACCCAGGAGACAGGTTGCAGTGAGCCGAGATCATGCCACTGCACTCCAGCCTGGGCATGAGACTCTGTCTCAAATAAATAGATAAATAAATGATTTTAAAAAAATAAAAGCTGAGGAGTGACTTGGTTAGATCCGTAGTTTAAAGAAGTCATTTTGGGGCCAGGCACGGTGGCTCACGCCTATAATCCCAGCACTTTGGGAGGCTGAGGCAGGTGGATCACCTGAGGTCAGGAGTTTGAGACCAGCCTGGCCAACATGGTGAAGCTCCGTCTCTACTAAAAATACAAAAAATTACCCAGCCGTGGTGGCTTACACCTGTAATCCCAGCTACTCAGGAGGGTGAGGCAGGAGATTTGCTTGAACCTGGGAGGTGGAGGTTGCAGCGAGCCAAGATCATGCCACTGCACTGCAGCCCGGGCGACAGAGAGACTCAAAAAAAAAAAAAAGTCGTTTTGGGAACCAGTCACCGCTTCTTTTTGATAGCCCCTGGTTTTGTTAGGGGAAGCAAGGGGTTCAGCAAAATGAATATACTTCCTGGCTTCCTTTGCAGCTAGGGGTGGCCGTGTCACAGTCTGGCCAAGGAAATGAAATTGGGAGTTGCTGTGTGGAAACTCAACTCTCTGGAACTTCTTCCTTCCTCCTGCCTCTGCACAAATGTGACGGCAGCAGCTGAAGCCAACATCTTGCGACCATGAGAGAAAAACCTGGAGAACGGACGAGTCCTCAACCCTGACTTCAGACCAACCTACACCCACCTCTGGACGTGGGGCTAAGTGAGAGATGGATACACTGTTTCATTTAGGCCCTGCTCACTTAGGTTTCTGTTATTCACACCCCAACGAAACCCTCCATGGTCCAGGGCACCGGGCAAAGTACAGAAGGGCACGAGTTTACTTCCCGCTTCCCTGGAGACCACCAACCCTCTCACCCTTCCAGCCCAGCCTCTGCCACTTCCCAGCTGTCGGTCCTCCTCCAAACAGACGTGCATGCCAACACCCGGTGGGTGTGAGGCTTGTAGGCCCAAGTCTAGAGAGGCTGAGTCTGGCAAAGCCTGAAAGCCCCTGTCCTAGCAAGCCAGGCCACAGGTCTAGAGTATCCGAGACCAGTGAATAAGGGGACGGGGGGTGCTACTGAGGCTGTGAGAAGCCCCAGGACCAGCCCAGGGTAGTTAGAACTGAGTGAGGTTAGCCGGGACTAACCTCACTCAGATCCCTCCTCCCCAGTTCCCCTCCATCCACTTTGGTTTGGAAGCCTCCCCAGAGCTCTCCCAGGCTGTCATCAGCTCTAAACTCTCTGCCTCCACAAAAATGCCCTGGGCAACCTGTAACTCACAGCCCTGCTGTCTTCAGAGTATAAACTGGAGACAGATGTACCCAGAATTGAGGACGGGTGGGAAATGAGGAGAAATGAAGGCTGAGGAGGGGTCATTCTCACAGTCCCTCCCTTTCGGTCACAGGAGGGTGTTGCCCATGCTTTTGGGTGGGTCCCAGGCCCATAGCTGCAAATATTCATATTGGCTACTCTTCAGTGAGCAAGGGGTATATGCCAGGCACTGGCATTGTGCTTGACATACATCATCATACTGAGTCCTCACGGAAGATGTATTATTCCCATTTCACAGAAGATGAAACTGAGGCTTGAGGTTAAGTGATTTGTCCGTGACCACAAAGAGTTTTCGGGACTCAAACCCAGATCTGTCACTGGGCAAGGTGGCTCACACCTATAATCCCAGCCCTTTGGGAGACTGAGGCCAGCAGATCTCCTGTGGCCAGGAGTTCAAGCCTGGCCAACAATGGCAAAACCCCGTCTCTACCAAAAATACAAAAATTAGCTGGGCGTGGTGGCACACACCCGTAATCCCAGCTACTCAGGTGGCTGAGGCAGGAGAATCACTTGAACCCAGGAGGTGGTGGTTGCAGTGAGCCTAGATCGTGCCACTGCATTCCAGCCTGAGCGACAGAGTAAGACTCTGTCTCCAAAAAAAACCCAGATCTGTCCGACTCTGACACCCAACCTTTAATCACTCACTTTCTGTCAATGTCACCTCCGTTTTGACCAGCCAAGCTAGACCTCCCTGGAGCCTGTGGAGAAGCCAAGGTAGAAAAGGGTTGGAAAAGAATGATAAAATAGGCCAGGTGCGGTGGCTCAAGCCTGTACTCCCAGCACTTTTGGAGGCCGAGACAGGCAGATTGCTTGAGCCCAGGAGTTCAAGACCAGCCTGGGCAACATAATGAGACCCTGTTTCAACTTAAAAAAAAGAAATGGTAATGAACAATTGTCAATTCTGAGCAGCTGGGTATGGTATGACCCTGTGTACTTTTTCTGTATTTTAAAATGTTCTCAAAATAAAACTTGTTTAAAAAAAAAAAAGAAGAGGACAAAGAAGAGGAGGAGGAAAAAGAAGAGGAAGAGTAAGGAAGGAGGAAAGAAGAGGGGGAGGGAGGGAGGAAGGAAGGAAGGAGAATAAATGAAGAAAGAGGCCAGGCAGAATGGCTCATGGCTGTAATCCCAGCACTTTGGGAGGCCAAGGCAGGTGGATCACCTGAGGTCATGAGTTCGAGACCAGCCTGGCCAACATGATGAAACCCTGTCTCTACTAAAAATACAAAAATTAGCGAGTCATGGTGGTGCATGCCCATAATCCCAGCTACTTGGGAGGCTGAGGCAGGAGAATCGCTTGAACCCGGGAGGCGGAGTTTGCAGTGAGCCGCGATTGCGCCACTGTACTCCAGCCTGGGCAATAAGAGCGAAACTTCATCACCAAAAAAAAAAATAATGTAAAATAAAAAAATGAAGAAAGAACAAGACTGGGTAGGGTGCAGTGGCTCACGCCTATAATCCCAGCACATTGGCAGGCCGAAGTGGGCAGATCACCTGAGGTCAGGAGTTGGAGACCAGTCTGGCCAAGATGGTGATTTTTGTCTTTACCAAAAGATACAAAAGTCAGCTGGGCATTGTGGTGCGCGCCTGTAATCCCAGCTACTCGGGAGGCTGAGGCGGGAGAAGTGCTTGAACCCGGCAGGCGGAAGTTGCAGTGAGCCGAGATTGCGCCGCTGCACTCCATCCTGGATGACAGAGTAGGACTCCATCTTGGGGGTAAAAAAAAAAAAAAAGAACAAGACTGGGCCCAGAGTTAGGGCCAGGCCCGGGCTGCAGTGGGGCCTGGGCAGGGGCCGGGCCGGCTTTAGTGGCAGCCCTTCTGCACAAGAGCCCCAGTGTTCCCTGGGCCCGGCTGCCATCCAAGAGCAACATCGTTGGCACCAGGCAACGTCTGCCCTCTACCCCCCGATGACTCTGCCCCCAGGCAGGTGGGGGGTAGGACCTGGCCTCAGGAGACCCTCCTGGCCCAGCCCAGCATTCCAGAGGCACAGAGTCTGCAAACCCCTGCCTGGGCCTGGTGTCTCCTCAGGACTGCTGGCTAAAAGGTCAAGGAGTGCAGTGCTCAGTCCCAGCCCCCACACCTCCCTCCCCAACACACTCACCTTCAGGTGAATCTGCACCTTCCCGGGCCACAGTTAAGGATGGAGACAGAAAGCATCTGATGCAGTAGCATCAATGATCCCACTCTGGAGAGTTATCCCGAGCTCTCCATCTTTGCCCCAGAAGACAGGGGTTCGAGTTCTGCAATTCACTTGCTAGATGACCTCAAATAAGTAATTCCATCTCCCTGAGCTTGTTTCTTCACCTACAAATCAGAGCTAAGGATTCCTATGCCATTTGGCTTGGTGGAAGAATTAAAGGATATAACCCATGTACAACACCCAGCATGATGCCTGGCATGTAACGGGAGCTGAAGAGTCACGAGCTCAGGAACAGGAACACGTTCATTTCCCCCAACACTCCTAGGAAGAAAGAAGCTGGAGCAGCCGGGAGCCGTTGCTCACGCCTGTAATGCCAGCACTTTGGGAGGCCGAGACGGGTGGATCACCTGAGGTCAGGAGATCGAGACCAGCCTGGCCAACATGGTGAAACCCCGTCTCTACAAAAATACAAAAATTAGCTGGGTGTGGTGGCAGGCGCCTGTAGTCCCGGCTACTAGGAAGGCTGAGGCAGGAGAGGCAGGAGAATTGCTTGAGCCTGGGAGGCGGAGGTTGCAGTGAGCCAAGATCACGCCACTGCACTCCAGCCTGGGCAATAGAGCGAGGCTCCATCTCCACAAAAAAAAAAAAAAAAAAAGGAAGAAGAGGAAGCTGGAGCATGACGGCTTTCTGGGTGGGGAAACTGAGGCAGAGGCAGGTTAACAGCAGGATCTTAGGGTGACAGGCTCTTGCCTCTGCTAAGCGAGAGAGAGAGAGAGAGAGAGTGTGTGTGTGTGTGTGTGTGTGTGTCTGAATGTATTTTTTTTTTTTTTTGAGACAGGGTCTTGCTCTGTTTCCCAGGCTAGAGTGCAGTGCGTGATCTTGGTTCAATGCAACATCTGCCTCCCAGGTTCAAGTGATTCTCCTGCCTCAGCCACCCCAGTAGCTGGGATTACAAGCGTGTGCCACCATGCCTGGCCAATTTTTGTATTTTTAGTAGAGATGGGGTTTTACCATGTTGGCCAGGGTGGTCTCGAACTCCTGACCTCAAGTGATCCGCCCACCTCAGACTCCCAAAGTGCTGGGATTACAGGAGTGAGCCACTGTGCCCAGTCGTGTCTGAATGTCTTTGAGAAAGAGACTGCAAATGTGACTGGTGAAAGATTGCGTGTCAGCAAGAGAGTGAGACAGTGTGAAAGGCTTAGGTGCTCTCCCTGACTGGCTCAGCTTATCTCCCAGGCTGTAACTGATTACTTATCTGTCTGTCCCCACTACAATGTCAGCAGCCCCTTGAAGGGTAGAAGTAGGGTCCAGGCCAGGTGAGGTGGCTCACATCTGTAATCCCAGCATTTGAGGAGGCTGACATGGGCAGATAACTTGAGGTCAGGAGTTTGAGACTAGCCTGGTCAATATGGTGAAACCTTGTCTCTACTAAAAATATAAAAATTAGCCAGGTGTAGTAGTGCACATTTGTAATCCCAGCTACTCAGGAGCCTGAGGCAGGAGAATCACTTGAACCCAGGAGGCAGAGCTTGCAGTGAACTAAGATCACACCACTGCACTCCAGCCTGGACAACAGAGCAAGACACTGTCTCCCAAAGAAAAGAAAAGAAAAAGAGTCCAATTCGGGGCTTTATCCCCAGGATTTAAAACAGTGGATGCCACATAATGAACCTTCAATAAATAATCATTCAGATGAATGAGTGAATGAGTGAATGACTTTGTGAGGGAGCATCAGCCTCTGTGGAGGGTCAGTGTGAAAGGTTATGAGTGCGGGGAGAGGAGGCAGACAAGGGATATGGGGAACATATCCTAGGGACATCAGAGGGTTGCAAATCTGAGGGATTTGCGCATCTCAGGAGACAAGGAGGTTGCAAGACCTGAGCTATGAAAACTTTTAGTTTGTCTTTGGCTCTGGTAAACTCAGGAAATGCCCGGGAAGGTGAATGAAAGCCATGTGGGGTCCAGCTCCAGCTGGCGGCTCACCCTGTCTCCCCCCACAACCACATTCACAAGGGGAGCCAGCAGAGGGCCAGAGGCAGGGAGCTGAACCCCTCCAGCAGTCCGGGAGGTCTGGCAAGGTACCCTCTGGGCAGGCAGCTCCCAGGGCCAGGAGCCTCATCTGTCCTGGGAGCTCCAGCAAGGCAGGACTCTAGAGAAGGGAACCAGGACAAATTGTTTTTAAAAGATAACCAATTAAAAAAAAATTTATAATATACATATATATGTGTGGGTGTGTCTGTGTGTATGTATATACACACAGACACACAGACACACACAGACACACACACACACACACACACACACATATATATATATATATATATTTTTTTTTTTTTTTGGAGACAAAGTCTCACTCTGTCACCCAGTCTGGAGTGCAATGGCACGATCTCGGCTCACTGCAACCTCCACCTCCCGGGTTCAAGCAATTCTCTGCCTCAGCCTCCCTAGTAGCTGAGATTACAGGCACATGCCACCATGCCTGGCTAATTTTTTTGTATTTTTAGTAGAGCTGGGGTTTCACCATCTTGCCAGGTTGGTCTTGAACTCCTGACCTCGTGATCCACCCACCTAAGCCTCCCAAAGTGCTGAGATTACAGGCGTGAGCCACCGTGCCCAGCCTAATATATATTTTTAATAGAGACGAGATCTCACTATGTTGCCCAGGCTGGCCTCGAACTCCTGAGTTCAAGCGATCCTCCCGATTCAGCCTCCCACAGTGCTGGGATTATAGGCATGAGCCACCATGCCTGGCCTCAATTATTTTCTGATTTATCTTTGGGAGGAGACCATTCTTTCGCTTAAGAAGAAAAAGAAAAAAACAATTTTAAGTCTCTTTAATGGGCCTTACAGTTATGCAAAGATATGCCACTATCCCTTTGGGAGTGAGGGTGGAAAGAACTAGACTTGCCTGCGTAACAATGAGAAAGGAAGTTGCTTCTTAAGACAGGGTCTACACTAGCTAGAGGGGACAACCAGGACCTGAGCCTCAGACAGGGTCTCGCTCCATAGCCTGTTGCCCAGGCTACAGTGCAGTGGAGCGATCACGGCTCACTGCTGCCTCGACTTCCTGGGCTCAAGCAATCCTCTGGCCTCAGCCTCCCAAGTAGCTGGGACCACAGGTGCACCCAGCCCATTTCCCTTCCTCTCAAGGTGCCTTAAGAGAAGGAGAAGGCTTGAGATTCAGGTGAGGGATGGGCAGAGATCAGAGGCTGCCTGGCCTCCTGGTTTGGCCACAGTCTAGATGCTCAGGAGAGAAGTGCTTACAGGTGAGGCAAACATGAGCCAGGTGGGCACGGAGCTATCTGGGAGCACCTACTGTATGCCAGACACTTGAACTCTAATGGTGAGGTCTGAGGACACAGTTCCTCTACTGAAAAATAGAGACAGGGCAACTATGTTGCCAGGGCTGGCCTCACACTCCTGAATTCAAGCTGTCCTCCTACCTCAGTCTCCTAGTAACTAGAACTACAGGCACCCGTCATTGTGCCCGGCCATTCCACAGCTATTTACATAATTAACTGTTCAGTTACAATTCTGGCAAGCGTGCTGAAGAAATAACAGGTCCTAAATAATTACAGCTAGTATTACAAAGCAAGCGCTGCATGCCAGGCTTACACATACTGCTAACATGTCTACTTTTTGCAACAACCTCTTGTGGGTGAGACTATCATTTGCCTGTTTTACTGAAAGGACAGTGAAGACTGAGGCCTTGTGTGATGGTGCTGAGAGCTGGGCCTATGACGTCCAGCCCTGTAGTCTGTGCTCTGAACCACTTCACCCTGTTTCTTTCTCCATCCTCACAGTAGAGACGTCATCTAAGAGGAGCTTGCAAGTCCAGAGGGCTTCCTGAAGGAAGTGAGCTGAGAATAATATGAAATTAACCAGACCAAGGGCCATTCCAGGAAGAGAGAATGGTACGTGAAACTGCCCAGGAGTAGCAGGGTGGGAGCCAGGAGGCGTGGGTCATGGCAATCTATGTATAAAGAGCTATGGGAATCTATAGGAAAATTTAAGGGAGTGGCTGACACAGTCAGATTTGTGTTGTAAGTATCACTCCGCAGGTTGCGCAGGGAACAAATGAGGGAGCAGAAGGAAGGGGTTCTCCTATCCGCTGCACGGCACTGCGCAGAAGACAGGGGAGCCAGGCATTCCCTGAAGGGTGAAAAGCAAGGAGTAGAGCTGGGTAGTAGACTAGAATTTAGGAGCCTGGCCTGGGGCCTGGGTGGGGCGAAAGAGGCGGAGCCTGAATGGGGTGTGTATAGGGGGGTTGCGTGTAGGGGTGTGTGTATAGGCTGGGGCGGGGTCCCGGGAGTGGGCTGACTGGGTCGGGGGCGGGGCTCTCCAGGTGGGCGGGGATCTTGGCCACCCCTGGCCACACCTCTCTCCGGCTCGAGCTGGTCTAGGCGGGGCGGGCCCGAGGGGGTGTGGCAGGAGGTGGGCGGGCCCGGGTGGGGGGGGGGGGGGCGTGGAAGGAGGGGCGGGCCCGAGCAGGAGGGGGCGGGCCCGAGGGGCGGGGTGGGACAGGAGGTGGGCCGCTCGCGGCCACGCCGCCGTCGCGGGTACATTCCTCGCTCCCGGCCGAGGAGCGCTCGGGCTGTCTGCGGACCCTGCCGCGTGCAGGGGTCGCGGCCGGCTGGAGCTGGGAGTGAGGCGGCGGAGGAGCCAGGTGAGGAGGAGCCAGGTGAGCAGGACCCTGTGCTGGGCGCGGAGTCACGCAGGCTCGAGGTGAGCCGGAACCCTTGTGGGCCCGGGCTGCGCTCCCAGCCGCCAGGGGGCGAGAGGCGGCGGGGCTACGGGGACTGCCCCTCCCGGCGCAGGGGACCTGGGCGTCCGCCGGGCGGCAGGGGGTGGAGGGGGCGGTAAATCAGTAACCCGCAGTGCACACAGGGCCTTTTGTCCCGCTCCGTCCAAAGAGCACCCCGGCCGCGGAGCTGGTTACTCATTGCCCACCGAGGCGGGGGCAGGCTGGCCCTGTGCAGCTACCCTCGGGACCCATTGATTCGCACCTCCCCCCAGGCTGGCCCGGCAAGGGTGGGGGAGGACAAGCGCGCTTGTCCCTGCGGCTGTCTTCGCGCCGGCGGCAGAGATGAGGGACCTGAGGCCCCGAAAAGTTCAGTCACTTAGTGCCCGGGGGCCTCCAGCGCGAGTGCGGGAGGCTGAAGGAGAACCCAGGACTGTCTGATGCCTAAGGCAGGCCCTCCATTCCCACGTGGGGGGTGGTCGGTCAGCGGTCAGCAGCCATGGGTGACTCGACTAAGGACTCTGATATCAGGGCAGCCTGGGGTAGGAATAAACTCCCCGGGCCTCCCCACCCACTCCCAGCCCAAGCTGTGTACCCAAAGAGCTGCCCTCCCTGCCAAGCCGAGCTTGGTAGGGAGTTTTACCAAGGAGGATCCGACTGGATTCGAGAGTTGAGGTGGGCCAGAGACAGCAGTATCTGAG
This sequence comes from Homo sapiens, assembly GCF_000001405.40. Taxonomy (NCBI): domain Eukaryota; kingdom Metazoa; phylum Chordata; class Mammalia; order Primates; family Hominidae; genus Homo; species Homo sapiens. Next base: position 177,087,795 of record NC_000005.10, read on the forward strand.
TCAGGTAGAGAAGAGCAATGAGGGGCACAGAGGGATGGGCAAGAGAGCACATGTGCCCAGTTTTGAAAGCCAATGGCTTCAGCGCTCCTGAAGGGGCAGACGGTGTGACCAAAGAGATAGGCAGCGGCAGAGAGGGAGCCCTAGGATGTTGAGCTGGATCCTGCTGGGCACAGGTAGCCATTAAGGGCTTGCAAGCTGGGGGGCATGACATGGCAGACTTGCAGGTTTTTTTGTTTGTTTTTTTATTTTATTTTATTTTTTTATTTTGTTTTTTTTGAGACGGAGTCTCACTCTGTCGCCCAGGCTGGAGTGCAGTGGCGCGATCTCGGCTCACTGCAAGCTCCGCCTCCCGGGTTCGCGCCATTCTCCTGCCTCAGCCTCCCGAGTAGCTGGGACTACAGGCGCCCGCCACCGCGCCCGGCTAATTTTTTGTATTTTTAGTAGAGACGGGGTTTCACCGTGTTAGCCAGGATGTTCTCGATCTCCTGACCTCGTGATCCGCCCACCTCGGCCTCCCAAAGTGCTGGGATTACAGGTGTGAACCATCGCGCCCAGCCGACTTGTAGTTTTTTAAAACTCTGCTGGAAGATGAAGGTTGAAGAGCCGAGGGAGAGGATGTTTCCAGAGGCCCATGCAAGAGATGGCCATGACCTGCCTTGAGAAGGGGCAGGGGAAGCCAGATGGACTGGAAGTGGAGTGGCAGTGACCAAGGAGGAGGAGGTGTGATAGGCTTCCCACGCAGGGTAGATCCAGAGACACCAGTGCCACCCATAGGCCCCTAGGACTGCAGTGGTCACCGATTCCTTTGTCCCAGCTGAGACTCAGTTCTGAGTGTTCTATTTTGGGGAACAGAGGCGTCCTTGGTAGCATTTGGAAGAGGATAGCCAGCTGGGGTGTGTGTACATCACAGCCTGACAGTAACAGCATCCGAACCAGAGGTGACTGGCTAAGGGCAGACCCAGGGCAACAGGTTAACCGTTCTAGGGCCGGGCACAGGGAGGAGAACATTCCAACACTCTGCGTGCCGACGCACGTTCTCTCTTTTATCCTCAAAACAGTCCTATGAGGATAGTAAGCCAGAGAGAGACAGAGACAAGGAATTACAAGTTGGTGAGAGTCAGGATTTGAACTTGGCTCTGGCAGATGGAAAATTAGGGTCTGTATTCTTTACAAAACCGTGTGTGCCTCAGATGGAGTTGGTGCATAACAAGCAGAGGTATCCAGGGTCGCGGTCCTGCTTGCCACGGAAGGGGCCGCCTTGTCAGTTGTGACCACCCAGCCCTGGAAATGTCAGTAATGCTGTAAGGAGTGGGGATCGGATCAGATGCCATCCAGATGCTGAAGTTTGACCTTGTGTCATTTTTCACTTTCTTTTTTGGCTCTTCTGCAATCAATTCATTTATTTAGCAAAAAAGAAATTATGTGTGCCGAGAGCATGCAGAAGATATGTCTCCGTTCTCTGCTTCCCTCCAAAAAAGAATCCCAAAACTGCTTTCTGTGAACGTGTGCCAGGGTCCCAGCAGGACTCAGGGAGAGCAGGAAGCCCAGCCCAGACCCCTTGCACAACCTACCGTGGGGAGGCCTTAGGCTCTGGCTACTACAGAGCTGGTTCCAGTCTGCACTGCCACAGCCTGGCCAGGGACTTGGACACATCTGCTGGCCACTTCCTGTCTCAGTTTCCTTATCTGCAAAATAAGGGAAAAGCCCCCACAAAGGTGCACGTGTAGCAGGAGCTCTTTTCCCTCCCTATTTTAGGAAGGCAGTTGGTGGGAAGTCCAGCTTGGGTCCCTGAGAGCTGTGAGAAGGAGATGCGGCTGCTGCTGGCCCTGTTGGGGGTCCTGCTGAGTGTGCCTGGGCCTCCAGTCTTGTCCCTGGAGGCCTCTGAGGAAGTGGAGCTTGGTATGGCTTCTGAGGTGGGAGAGGGTGGCAGGGGTGGGAAGAGTGGGCACCAGGAGGGGGCTGCTGGGCTGAGCAAAGCTGGAAAGGATCCTTGCCCAGGCCCTGAGAAGGTGGCGGCAGGGCAGGGCTCAACCACTGAGACTCAGTCAGTGCCTGGCTTCCAGCAAGCATTCATCTATCACTGTGTCTGCGAGAGAGGACTGGCCTTGCAGGGCGCAGGGCCCTAAGCTGGGCTGCAGAGCTGGTGGTGAGCTCCTTACCTGGGTGTGTGTGCGTGTGTGTGTGTGTTCTGTGCACTGGGTGTGTGACCTAGGAGGTCCAGGCAGCATGTGTGGTATAAGCATTATGAGGGTGATATGCCCCGGTGCAGCATGACCCTGTATGTGGCACCAACAGCATGTGCCTTGTGTGTGTGTGTGTCCGTATGTGTGTGTGTGTATGCGTGTGTGTGTGTGTGTGTGTCTTGGCCACTGTCGTGTGCACTAAATGCTGTGTGTGTGACATGCCCCAAGAGTGTGGCATTTGCCCTGGGTGTGGCATCCGCAGCATGTGGCTGTGTGGGTGTCAAGGAGTGGTGGCTCCTTCAGCATGCGTTGCAAAGTGCTTGTGCCCTGCATGTGCGGTGTGTTCTTTGTACACAGGAGGCTGCCTCAGATGGGGCTGCGGGGTCTGCTGACCTCTGCCCTCTGCCCACAGAGCCCTGCCTGGCTCCCAGCCTGGAGCAGCAAGAGCAGGAGCTGACAGTAGCCCTTGGGCAGCCTGTGCGTCTGTGCTGTGGGCGGGCTGAGCGTGGTGGCCACTGGTACAAGGAGGGCAGTCGCCTGGCACCTGCTGGCCGTGTACGGGGCTGGAGGGGCCGCCTAGAGATTGCCAGCTTCCTACCTGAGGATGCTGGCCGCTACCTCTGCCTGGCACGAGGCTCCATGATCGTCCTGCAGAATCTCACCTTGATTACAGGTGGTAAGAGACTCTAGCAGGGAGTGAAGGGATGCCTGGGGAGACAGACCTGCCCCTCTTGGACCTTAGATGCTTCCCTCTGTCCCTGATGTAGACTCCTTGACCTCCAGCAACGATGATGAGGACCCCAAGTCCCATAGGGACCCCTCGAATAGGCACAGTTACCCCCAGCAAGGTCAGTAGGTCTCCAAGGACTTGTGTCCCCGCTGCTGCTCATCTGATCACTGAGAAGAGGAGGCCTGTGTGGGAACACACGGTCATTCTAGGGGCCTTCCCCTGCCCTCCAGCACCCTACTGGACACACCCCCAGCGCATGGAGAAGAAACTGCATGCAGTACCTGCGGGGAACACCGTCAAGTTCCGCTGTCCAGCTGCAGGCAACCCCACGCCCACCATCCGCTGGCTTAAGGATGGACAGGCCTTTCATGGGGAGAACCGCATTGGAGGCATTCGGGTGAGTCTCTGGGTTCCAAGACCGTCTGCTCCCCCATTTTCATTCCTTCATCAGTCCCCTCATACCTACAAGCATACCTATAAATCAATCGAATGAGTGAAGCGATTGCGGGGCCCCGGAAGGAGCCCTGGACTGTGGACCTGGGCAGCTCTGGTTCCCCTTCTGCTACTCTCTGGCAAGTGACTTAACCTCTCAGCCTCAGCAACTCCATTTGTAAAGGGAGAAGAATCACTGACTGGTTGGTCTGCATAAGCCTTAGCATCTCATCGTCTTGATGAGACCCTGCAGGGTCGGCTCCATGCTGTCATGAGGCAACTGAGTCTCAGAGAAGGCAAGGGTTGGCTCAAAGTAGCACAGCTAGGGAGAGGGAGAGCTAAAATTCCAAAGGCTCAAACCCAAGGCTCAAGCGCCCTGGGGAGCCTACTCCTTTGTGCCATAGTCCTTGGCCTGGGCCTGATGTTCTCAGGGCCTAGAGAGCTTGACAAGAGCCCTGTGGGCAGGATGAGGATCTAGCCTCCTGGTCCTCTGGCCCCCTTGGTGGACATGGTCCGGTGGTCCCGGACACTCTCTCTGCCTGCAGCTGCGCCATCAGCACTGGAGTCTCGTGATGGAGAGCGTGGTGCCCTCGGACCGCGGCACATACACCTGCCTGGTAGAGAACGCTGTGGGCAGCATCCGCTATAACTACCTGCTAGATGTGCTGGGTGAGCGCGGGGCTGGGAACAGGGGAGGCCTGACCCATTTTGGGCTCAGTTGTGCCCTCTTGGTGGGGTCTAGTCTGGCAGGCAGGATGGACTCAGATGAGTCAGGCAGCTTGGTGAGCAGGTGGGTCAGGGGAAAGCACAGGGGTTAGTGTGGGGCTGGAGGAGCAGAGGTCTGCCAAGAGGAAAAACAAGAAGGACATCCAGGCAGAGGGCGCAGCCCGAGCGGAGGGCCTGAGTATAACAAACGCCCTGCACTTGCAGGCCAGCATATTCGTAGGGCGTGGCGTTTATATGGGGAGCCAGGTGGTGGAGGGTTTTGAATGCTAGGCTGAGATGTTGTCCTTGACCCGAAGCAATAGGGAGCCAGGGAAGGTTTAAGCAGGGTAAGCAGGAGACAGACAAGAAGCTGCAGAAAGGTCCCTCCCTTGAACTTGAGGAAGGCTGGAGGGAGGCAAACAGGGTGCTTCTATGGGTGCCGGTGGTCAGGGTTGACTGTCTCGCCCGGTCCCCAGAGCGGTCCCCGCACCGGCCCATCCTGCAGGCCGGGCTCCCGGCCAACACCACAGCCGTGGTGGGCAGCGACGTGGAGCTGCTGTGCAAGGTGTACAGCGATGCCCAGCCCCACATCCAGTGGCTGAAGCACATCGTCATCAACGGCAGCAGCTTCGGAGCCGACGGTTTCCCCTATGTGCAAGTCCTAAAGGTAAAAGGTGCACCCTGCTGCAGCCTGGGCCCCATTCTTCTCCCACCTTGGGTTGGGGGGCTCCCCAGCTTCCCTGTTGGCCACAGTGTGGCCCCAGGCCCTGCTGTGACCCCAGAGCATGTCCCCCACCCCAGACTGCAGACATCAATAGCTCAGAGGTGGAGGTCCTGTACCTGCGGAACGTGTCAGCCGAGGACGCAGGCGAGTACACCTGCCTCGCAGGCAATTCCATCGGCCTCTCCTACCAGTCTGCCTGGCTCACGGTGCTGCCAGGTGAGCACCTGAAGGGCCAGGAGATGCTGCGAGATGCCCCTCTGGGCCAGCAGTGGGGGCTGTGGCCTGTTGGGTGGTCAGTCTCTGTTGGCCTGTGGGGTCTGGCCTGGGGGGCAGTGTGTGGATTTGTGGGTTTGAGCTGTATGACAGCCCCTCTGTGCCTCTCCACACGTGGCCGTCCATGTGACCGTCTGCTGAGGTGTGGGTGCCTGGGACTGGGCATAACTACAGCTTCCTCCGTGTGTGTCCCCACATATGTTGGGAGCTGGGAGGGACTGAGTTAGGGTGCACGGGGCGGCCAGTCTCACCACTGACCAGTTTGTCTGTCTGTGTGTGTCCATGTGCGAGGGCAGAGGAGGACCCCACATGGACCGCAGCAGCGCCCGAGGCCAGGTATACGGACATCATCCTGTACGCGTCGGGCTCCCTGGCCTTGGCTGTGCTCCTGCTGCTGGCCGGGCTGTATCGAGGGCAGGCGCTCCACGGCCGGCACCCCCGCCCGCCCGCCACTGTGCAGAAGCTCTCCCGCTTCCCTCTGGCCCGACAGGTACTGGGCGCATCCCCCACCTCACATGTGACAGCCTGACTCCAGCAGGCAGAACCAAGTCTCCCACTTTGCAGTTCTCCCTGGAGTCAGGCTCTTCCGGCAAGTCAAGCTCATCCCTGGTACGAGGCGTGCGTCTCTCCTCCAGCGGCCCCGCCTTGCTCGCCGGCCTCGTGAGTCTAGATCTACCTCTCGACCCACTATGGGAGTTCCCCCGGGACAGGTGCGCTGAGCTGTGTGGGGGCAGGGACGCGGGCGCCGGGTTGCAGCCCGCCCTCCGCAGGAGTGACTCGGAGGTCTGAGGCTGGACTTTCTCCATCTCCAGGCTGGTGCTTGGGAAGCCCCTAGGCGAGGGCTGCTTTGGCCAGGTAGTACGTGCAGAGGCCTTTGGCATGGACCCTGCCCGGCCTGACCAAGCCAGCACTGTGGCCGTCAAGATGCTCAAAGGTGAGTGTGGCCCGGTGTGGTGGCTCACACCTGTAACGCCAGCACTTTAGGAGGCTGAGGGTGGGAGGATCGCTTGAATCCAGGAATTCGAGGCCAGCCTGGGCAACATGGCAAGACTTCATCTCTACAAAAAAAAAATAAGAAAATTAGTTGGGTGTGGTGGTGTGTGCCTTTAGTCTCAGTTACTAGGGAGGCTGAGGCAGGAGGATCCCTTGAATCCAGGAGTTGGAGGTTGCAGGGAGCCATGATCACGCCACTGTATTCCAGCCTGGGCAACACAGTGAGACCCTATCTGAAAAAATAAATAAATAAATAAAAATAAAAGGTGAACGTGGCAGCCTGGAGGAGGTGCTATGGCATTGGGACTAATAGAAGGGGCTCACGGTGCCACCAGGTGAGCCCTGGAGCTGGGAGAGGCTGTGGGATCCCACCCTTAAACCTGCAATTCACCTCTGCTCCTGACCCTGGCAAGTGACTTCTGAGCCTCAGTTTTCCCTTGTGTCATATGGGGTAGATAACAGTCCCTACTCCCAGCCCAAGGATTGTGGAAAGTGCCTGGCTCATAGTCAGGGCTCAATAAATCTTCACCACTGGGGTGATGATGATGAGAAGAATTTGGTGTGACAGGCTTGATATCCTGTGTCAGCATTAGTCTGTGTCAGCTTTGACTTCACATCTCCTTGTCAGCCTCACAGGCCCTCTACCTCCTTCCTTATGGTTCCCCCCAGACACACCCTCAGCCTCCCTTGGACCCTCCCTAGGTCTGCCCCCCACGTCCACTGCTGTAGGAGGACAGCCCTTCTGCTTGCACCCAGGCCCAGCCCCGGGGTGCTCTTGCTGGGCACTCCTGCACCCCACCCATCAGGGCCTCTCCTTGCAGTTCCCCAGCCCCCTCTGCAAGAATGGCCTCCACTGCTCTTCTGCTCCTCCCCTCCTCTCTACACAGCTGGGGCCACCTGGTGCTCCCTGGGAGGCAGGGATTGAGAAATGCACATTGTGTCATTGGCCCAGGGCCACAGGTCAGCCCCAGGGGCTCAGCCAGAGAAGCCAAAGCAGCCTTCTTCCCAAGCTCCCCGGCTGCACCCGGCCTGCCGCCAGCTCCCTGAATTCCCAGGCCAGTTGGAAGCCAGGCCCTGGTCAAACAGACCCCAGGGCGCCAGCCTGCTTTCCGCACCCAGAAGCTCTGACCCCATGCGGGGACTACCGCTGACCCCTCCAGCGGCAGCTTCCTTCCTTCCTTCCTGCTCCGAGCTCTTCCCCTCTCTCCTGTGTCCTGGGCCTGCCCGCTGGAAGGCCTGCCTCTTAGATCCTTGATACAGTTGCATCCTTGCAACTGCTGTGACAGGCAGGGTGTGACCCACTGCTCTGTTTCCCACAAGACGAACCTGAGGTTCAGAGACGCTAGGAGACTTTTTCAAGGCCACACAGCCTAGCAAGGATTCAGCCCTAGACCTACGTAGCCCTGGTCCAGTGCTGCTTGTCCTGCACCTGCCTCTGCATGCTCCCTCGTGCAGTTGGAGGGCAGCCTCTTCACCCCGTCTGCTGCCCTTACAGACAACGCCTCTGACAAGGACCTGGCCGACCTGGTCTCGGAGATGGAGGTGATGAAGCTGATCGGCCGACACAAGAACATCATCAACCTGCTTGGTGTCTGCACCCAGGAAGGTGGGGCCGAGGCGGGGCTGGCTGCACGGGCCGTTAGGGTGCAGAGCCAAAGCTTTGGCAGCCTCTCCACGCTCCCTCCACTCCCTCTGCAGGGCCCCTGTACGTGATCGTGGAGTGCGCCGCCAAGGGAAACCTGCGGGAGTTCCTGCGGGCCCGGCGCCCCCCAGGCCCCGACCTCAGCCCCGACGGTCCTCGGAGCAGTGAGGGGCCGCTCTCCTTCCCAGTCCTGGTCTCCTGCGCCTACCAGGTGGCCCGAGGCATGCAGTATCTGGAGTCCCGGAAGGTACAGGCGCTAGGGCTCTGAGCCCCTCTCAGTCTCTCCAGCTCCACTCTCAGGCCTGTGGCATTCAATGTCCCGACTTCTCCCTCTCTGCTCTTTTTCATGACCCCACCTCAGTGTCCCCAGGCATTCACGCTTTCCTGCATTCCCCACTCGTTCCTCACCCTTCCCCAGAGGGGAGAGGGGACGCAGGAGAAGGCACTCCCCGTTTCTAAACCTTGACCTCCTCCTCTGTAAAGTGGGTGGAGGGCCCCTGCCCCCGGGCCTGCTGGGGGGTGGTGTGTGCTCAACTCCAGGCCAGGTGTCCTGAGGCACCCAAGCCCCCGCTCCCTGCAGTGTATCCACCGGGACCTGGCTGCCCGCAATGTGCTGGTGACTGAGGACAATGTGATGAAGATTGCTGACTTTGGGCTGGCCCGCGGCGTCCACCACATTGACTACTATAAGAAAACCAGCAACGTGAGGGAGATGGGGCAGAACTGGATGGGGGTGGAGGGGCACTGGGCCCGGGGTGGCAGGCACGAGGACCTGTGGGACTCTGCACTGAGGCCCTCTCTCCCCTCCAGGGCCGCCTGCCTGTGAAGTGGATGGCGCCCGAGGCCTTGTTTGACCGGGTGTACACACACCAGAGTGACGTGTGAGTCCTGCCGGCGGTCACTGTCCTACCCCACAAAAAGGGCAAGGCACTGCCCAAAGTCACGTGGCCCCAGGAGTCATGCGCTCGAGGGCTCCTTCAGATTTGGTCTGGGACCCGAGTGGGCCCAGACTCCAGGAGGAGCCCATTCCCCAACAGCTGTGGTGGGTCATGTCTGTGGGGTCCCCCGTCCTAGCCCCGGTCGTCGGGAGGGCGCTGAGCCACACTGAGCCCTGGCCCTACCTCCAGGTGGTCTTTTGGGATCCTGCTATGGGAGATCTTCACCCTCGGGGGCTCCCCGTATCCTGGCATCCCGGTGGAGGAGCTGTTCTCGCTGCTGCGGGAGGGACATCGGATGGACCGACCCCCACACTGCCCCCCAGAGCTGTGAGGCCTCACCCTGCCCTCGACCCCACTTTCCAGTCCTCCTCCTCCTCTGCCCTGACCATGGCCTCAGGGTGTGTCCCGGCCAGAAGGACAACACTAACAACAACTCCTCGTCCTCCTCCTCCTCTTCCTCTTCCTCCTCCTCCTCTTCCTCCTCCTCCTCTTCCTCCTCCTCTTCCTCCTCCTCCTCTTCCTCCTCCTCCTCTTCCTCCTTCTCCTCCTGCTCCTCTTCCTCCTCCTTCTCTTCCTCCTCCTCCTCTTCCTCCTCCTCCTCTTCCTCCTCCTCCTCTTCCTCCTTCTCCTCCTGCTCCTCTTCCTCCTCCTTCTCTTCCTCCTCCTTCTCTTCCTCCTCCTCCTCCTGCTCCTCTTCCTCCTCCTCCTCTTCCTCCTCCTCAGCCTAGTGGAGTGTCCTGGCCTGGCTTCTACTGATGACCCTCCTATCCCTCATCAAACTCCCCACCAAACTCCTCCCCACCCAGAGAACCCCCGGTCCTCCCCTTCCTCCTGAAGGCCTGAGGCTCCCTGTGACCCTCCGCCCCACCTCTCGCAGGTACGGGCTGATGCGTGAGTGCTGGCACGCAGCGCCCTCCCAGAGGCCTACCTTCAAGCAGCTGGTGGAGGCGCTGGACAAGGTCCTGCTGGCCGTCTCTGAGGAGGTACAGCCCCTCCCACCCACCACCTCCCTCTGCCTGCTCCCCTCCAGGCCTCATCTGGCCTGACCGCGTGGACATGCGCCCCGTCCCATCCCGGGCGCTGCAGAGGCTGACCAGCTCCGTTCCCCACAGTACCTCGACCTCCGCCTGACCTTCGGACCCTATTCCCCCTCTGGTGGGGACGCCAGCAGCACCTGCTCCTCCAGCGATTCTGTCTTCAGCCACGACCCCCTGCCATTGGGATCCAGCTCCTTCCCCTTCGGGTCTGGGGTGCAGACATGAGCAAGGCTCAAGGCTGTGCAGGCACATAGGCTGGTGGCCTTGGGCCTTGGGGCTCAGCCACAGCCTGACACAGTGCTCGACCTTGATAGCATGGGGCCCCTGGCCCAGAGTTGCTGTGCCGTGTCCAAGGGCCGTGCCCTTGCCCTTGGAGCTGCCGTGCCTGTGTCCTGATGGCCCAAATGTCAGGGTTCTGCTCGGCTTCTTGGACCTTGGCGCTTAGTCCCCATCCCGGGTTTGGCTGAGCCTGGCTGGAGAGCTGCTATGCTAAACCTCCTGCCTCCCAATACCAGCAGGAGGTTCTGGGCCTCTGAACCCCCTTTCCCCACACCTCCCCCTGCTGCTGCTGCCCCAGCGTCTTGACGGGAGCATTGGCCCCTGAGCCCAGAGAAGCTGGAAGCCTGCCGAAAACAGGAGCAAATGGCGTTTTATAAATTATTTTTTTGAAATAAAGCTCTGTGTGCCTGGGTCTTCCCTGAGCAACATGGAGTGGGGTGAGGTGGAGGGATCCCTCCAGCAGAGTTCTGCCTACAGGACACGGACTGAGGGCACTGGACCAGGCCATGGGCTCCGCCACCTCCACTGCCCCAGGAGCCAGTGTGTGCCTATCTGGGTCCGCCTGTCCCACCAGCCCCATCTTGTGTCTGCGACAGTGTGAATGAGTATTAATGGGCTGAGTCCGCATTGCACTATACACGGTGGGACTCCTGTACCCTCTGCACATGTGTGTGTGTGCATGTGTGCCCTGCAGCTGTCCCCAAGGGAGCTGGCAGCCCCCCTCCCCCATCTGCTCAGCATTAACCAAGCTGACCGTTAACACAGCATGAAAATCTGAGAGCCAGCCTTAGGCCGCGGCCCGCTCCCACGCTCTGCCGGCTCAGGCTGGGGGCTTGTGGAGGCCATGCCCGCCCCGCCCTGGCCAGTCTCCCGGGCAGCAGCTGGTTGCCGCCCGCCTGGGCTGCAGCTGTCCCTGCCTGCCTGGTCTTCCACTGAGGAGCCGTCACAGCCCTGTACTCAGAGCTCCTCAGAGTGAGCAGCTTCTCAAGGCTCTGAGCCTGGAACCTCCTTCCCTGGCCCCATCCTGGCACGTACTGCTACTCCCCAGCCCCTGAGCCTTGAGTGGGCCATGGGGGGCCCAGGCATGGTGTCTGACCCAGCACTTGGCACTCTCCTGTCCTTTTCCTTACAGGCCTCAGGCTGGGACAGGACTGCCCAACCAGGACAGCCTTCATGGAGGCCATCGGGATTGCCCCCGTCTGCCCCCAGGGAGTGGTGGCTGAAAATGCATATGCGGTCAGAGGGGTCAGACAGAGGGATTGGAGGCTGGGGCCTCCTTGGAAGACTGAGCGTCAGCTCATGATTGTTTATCCTCACTCTGGGCTCCTCCCAGCTCTCAGCATAGCCTCTCCAGCTGACGGTATCCCACACAGAACTCATCTTACCCCCAGAACTGTACCTCCTCCAGGGCAGGAACCAGGGAGTCACCTGACTACTTCCCTCAAGAACCCTGTTCCAGGCCAGGTGCGGCAGCTCACCCCTGTAATCCCAGCACTTTGGGAGGCCGAGGCGGGCGGATCACCTGAGGTCAAGAATTCGAGACCATTCTGGACAACATGGCAAAACCCTGTCTCTACTAAAAAATACAAAAATTAGCCGGGCATAGTGGGGCACACCTGTAGTCCCAGCTACTCAGGAGGCTGAGGCAGGAGAATCATTTGAATCTGGGAGGCGAGGGTTGCAGTGAACCGAGATCGTGCCAGCCTGGGCTAGGGAGCAAGGCTCTGTCGCAAAAAAAAAAAAAAAACAACCCTATTCCCTCATGCGCTTCCACGGTCCAGCGTGGCTCCTGAGGCCAGCACTGCCACCTCTCTGATAATACTGTCTTTGCCCATGAGTAGGGTGCACCTGTCCCGCCTGCCTCCTGGGGCGTAGGGTTTAGGAGGAAGCACGTGCAGATGCACATAGGCTTGGGGGAGGGTGTGATGCGGAGGCCCATGGGTTGGGCTGCGGTGCTTCCCTGGGAGCCGGTGCTGGGGCTTTTGTGTCCCTGAGTGCCCCCCTCCGAGCCCTAGGTATCCAGCCTCCCTTTTGCTCCCTCCCCTGCAGGTGGCTCCAGAGGTAGCTTCCAAAAGCAGACTGGGTTTATGCTCCCTCCTGCTCTCAAAGACCCCCACTAACTCCCGAAAGCCCCCAGACTGACCAACTTTCTTTTTCCTTCCTTCCTTCCTTCTTTTCTTCCTTCCTTCCTTCCTTCTTCCCTCCCTCTCTCTCTTTCTTTCTTTTTCTCTTTCTTTTCCTTCCTTCCTTTCCTTTCCTTTTGCTCCTTCCCTCCCCTCTCTGTCTTCCTTTCTCTCTTTCTCTCTCTCCTCCCTCCCTCCCTCCCTCCCTTCCTTCCTTCCTCTCTCTCTCTCCCTCTCTTTTTCTCTCTCTTCTTTCTTTCTTTCTCTCTCTTTCTTTCTTTTTCTTTTTTTTTTTTTGAGACAAGGTCTTGATCTGTTGCCCGGATTGGAGTGCAGTAATGCCATGGTCATGGCTCTGCTGCCTCAAACTCCTGGGCTCAAGCAACCCTCCCACCTCAGCCTGCCAAGTGTGTAGGACTACAGGTGCATGCCACCATACATGGATAATTATTTTTTAGTTTTTGTAGAGATGGGGTTTTGCTATGTTGTCCAAGCTGGTCTCAAACTCCTGGCCTCAAGCAATCCTCCCACCTTGGCCTCCCAAGGTTCCCAAGCCACTGGACATTCTGACTGAGCCCCTCTCTCCAATGTATAGCCTCCCATTGGGGGGTCACTGTCCACTGACTGTGTCCGCCTGTCCAGCCAATCACAGGAGAAGCAGATCCCTTGGACCTGACCTTGGGAAGGAGAGGACTGGGAGATTAGAATCGTGTGTGAGGACAGTATTCTAAGGGGATGTGGAACAACAGCCCCATTTTCCAATTTCCCACCATGAGCCTGCTGCGGTGCCAGGCTCAACCAACCACGCTCTCCCCTGCCACAGCCTTGCCAAATAAAGATTGTTCTTCCCATTTAACGATGGAGAAACTGAGGTCCAGGGTCACAAGAATGGGGCTCCAGGAAGGAGCTAGGCTGAACCCCAGGTTCCCAGAAGGCCATGTGCACATTGGAGACCAGACCCAGGTCACTCAGAGTGACAGGGGCAGCTGCTGCCTGGTGGGTCCTGGGGGCCGGGAGGGGCTCAGCTGCCCACCCTGCACCCCCTCCCTGCCAGCGTCCCTGGCAGGCACACGCTTCCTGGGGCCATTCCACATTCCTGATGTCCCATGTCAGAATGACACATATACTGCTAATTCCCCTATGCGAGCTCTGATGCTCCAGCTCTCTGCCCTCCCCTCCCCGCTCCCGGCAGCATGGCAGCAGCTGGGGCCTGGCCTCCCTGGTCTGCCTGGGTTCTAGCCTGTGACAGGGGCCCATAGAAAAAGCACTGAGGCCGGGCCAGGCACAGTGGCTCACGCCTGTAATCCCAGCACTTTGGGAGGCTGAGGTGGATGGATCACGAGGTCAGGAGATCGAGACCATCCCGGCTAACATGGTGAAACCCCGTCTCTACTAAAAATACAAAAAATTAGCCGGGCATGGTGGGTGCCTGTAGTCCCAGCTACTTGGGAGGCTGAGGCAGGAGAATGGCATGAACCCAGGAGGCGGAGCTTGCAGTGAGCGGAGATGGCACCACTGCACTCCAGCCTGGGCGACAGAGCAAGACTCCGGCTCAAGAGAAAAAAAAAAAAAGAAAGAAAAGAAAGCACTGAGGACAGGCACAGTGGCTCACCCCTGAAATCTCAACACTTTGGGAGGCTGAGGCAGGCGGATCACCCGAGGTCAGGAGTTCGAGACCAGCCTGGCCAACATGGTGAAACCCTGACTCTACTGAAAATACAAAAATTAGCCGGGCGTGGTGGCGGGCACCTGTAGTCTCAGCTACTTGGGTGGCTGAGGCAGGAGAATCGCTTGAACCTGGGAAGTGGAGGTTGCAGTGACCCAAGATTGCACCACTGTGCTCCAGCCTGGGTGACAGAGGGAGACTCCGTCCCAAAAGAAAAAAAAAGAAGGCCGGGAGAGGTGGCTCATGCCTGTAATCCCAGCCTTTGGGTAGCCGAGCCGGCCGGATCACCTAAAGTCAAGAGTTCCAGACCAGCCTGCCCAACATGGTGAAACCCTGTCTCTACTAAAAATACAAAAATTAGCCGGGCGTGGTGGTGGGCGCCTGTAATCCCAGCTACTTGGGAGGCTGACACAGAAGAATCACTTGAATCCGGGAGGCGGAGGTTGCAGTGAGCCGAGATTGAGCCACTGCACTCCAGCCTGGGCAACAAGAGCGAAACTCCATCTCAAAAAAGAAAAGAAAAAGCACTGAGCCCACCTCTGCACTCTGCCTCTTGCTGGCTTTGTACATAAGGCAGGGTTCTGGTGGCATCAAGACAGTGACTCTGACTTGGGAAGCCCTAGCCAAGGGATGGAGGCTGCTGGCTGGGGAGTCAGCACCTGGGAGGGAGGGGGAGGCGCACGGTGGAGGGGAGGGGCTGCAGGCTGAGTAGCCTCCATTTGAGATGCTTGGGACCAGAAGTGTTTCAGATTTCAGATTTTTCAGAGTTTGTAATCTTAGAAACAGGACCTACATCTAAACACAAAATTCATGTTTCATATACAAAATGTTTCTAATTCAAAATTTATGTTTCACATACACCTTGTATACATAACCTAAAGGTAATTTTATACAATATTTTAAATAATTTTGAGCATGAAACAAAGTTTGTGTATACCGAACCATCAGCACAGTAGGGGGCCGGGCGTGGCGGCTCACACCTATAATCCCAGCACTTTGGGAGGCCAAAGCCGGTGAATCACCTGAGCTCAGGGGTTCAAGACCAGCCTGAGCAAAATGGTGAAACCCCCATCTCTACAAAAAAATACAAAAATTGGCCAGCCAGGCACAGTGGCTCACGCCTGTAATCCCAGCAGTTTGGTAGGCCGAGGCAGGTGGATCACCTGAGGTCAGGAGTTTGAGACGAACCCAGCCAACATGGTGAAAACCCATCTCTACTAAAAATACAAAAATTAGCTGGGCATGGTGGCGCGCCCCTGTAATCCTAGCTACTTGGGAGGCTGAGGTGGAAGAATTGCTTGAACCCAGGAGGTAGAGGCTGCAGTGAGCGGAGATCACACCATTGCACTCCAGCCTGGGTGACAGAGAGAGACTCCATCTCAAAAAAAAAACAAAAACAAAAACAAAAATTAGCCGAGCATGGTGGTGGTTGCCTGTAATTCCAGCTACTCGGGAGGCTGAGGCAGGAACATTGATTGAGCCAGGAGGTTGCACTGAGCCAAGACTGCGCCATTGCACTCAGCCTGGGTGACAGAGTGAGAGCTTGTCTCAAAAAAAAAAAAAAAAGCCAGGTACGGTGGCTCATGCCTGTGATCCTAGCACTTTGGGAGGCTGAGACAGGAGGATCACTTGAGCCCAGGAGTTTGAGACCAGCCTGGACAACGTGGCAAAACCCCATCTCCACAAAAAATAAAAAAGTAGCCGGGTGTGGTGGTGCACACTTGTAGTCTCAGCTACTTGGGAGGCTGAGGGAGGATCATTTGAGCCGAGGAGTTCGAGGCTGCAGTAAGCTATGATTGCTCCACTGCACTCCAGCCTGGACAATAGAGAAAGACTCCGTCTCAAAAAAAAAAAAAGAAAGAAAGAAAGAAAAGAAACGAAAAGCAAATATGTCAGGTGTGGAATTTTCCACTGTGGCATCATGTCAGTGCTCAAAAAGTTTCAGATTTTGGACCATTTCAGGTTTCAGATTTTTGAATTAGGGATGCTCAACCTGTATGACCAAAATTACTCTCTCTGAGCCTCCTTTTTCCAACCAGTCACATAGGAATGATGACACCCACCTCAGAGCATGGTTTCTACTGCTCTGTAAACAACAGCTGTTGCTGCACAGAGATCAGGAAGGAATGGCTTCCAGGGGTGGATTACTGTGCAGGTGCCATGATCTCATTTCCTTCTCCTGGCAGCCCTTCCACAAAGGCATTCTTGCCCCATTTTCCAGATGTGGACACTGAGGCTCTGAAGGTGGAAGTGACTGGCCCAGGGTCACAGGGGGGGAAAGTGAGAAAGTTGTTGCTCAGGGCCAGGTGCGCTGCCTGTCCCACGGAAGAGCCCACTCCCACAGCCTAGTCAGCCCGGCAGTTCTGAGGGTCAGGAGAGGCTCTGGGTGTGCATGAAGCAGGGGATGTCTGTGACTGAGATGTGCACACACAGGGGTGGATGGACAGTCACCACACCCAAGCACAGAGGTGCCTGTCTCAGTGCTCCTGCCTCCAGCCCCATGGCATTCGGTCCCTGCCCCTTCAGTCCCCTCCCATGGGCCACTCCTTCCTGGGGACACTCTTCCTACCACCTCCCGGGGACACACTTCCTACCGCCTCCCACGTGGCTGAGACCCACTTGCCCTTCAGATGTCACTCAAGCCTCAATTCTTGGGCAGCCTCCTCAGGTCCTCCATTCCAGGTCGGCTTCCAGGCTGGGCCCCATTCACAGGCTCTGGCGGCTGTCTCTGTAGTAGAGGGATGCTCTGAATAGTCTCCTTCCCCCAGACTGTGAGCACCAAGACGCAAGTTCTGCTTTGGTTGTGTTTTGTTGTTGTTTTTGTTTTTGTTTTTTGAGACGGAGTTTCACTCTTGTCACCCAGGCTGGAGTGCAATGGCATGATCTTGGCTCACTACAACCTCCGCCTCCCAGGTTCAAGCGATTCTTCTGCGTCAGCCTCCCAAGTAGCTGGGATTACAGGCATGCACCACCATGCCTGGGAGACGAGGTTTCTCCACGTTGGTCAGGCTGGTCTCGAACTCACAACCTCAGGTGATCTGCCCTCCTCGGCCTCCCAAAGTGTTGGGATTACAGGCGTGAGCCACCGCACCTGGCTTGGTTGTGTTTTTTAAATCAGTAGCTCTGAAGATGTAGCAGATGTCAGAGTTATCTAGTGGGCTTGTATGCTGGACACCCTACCCCCCAGAATTGTGTATTTAGTGGGTCTGGGGTGGAATCTGGGAATTTGCATTGCTACCCAGATGCTGCTGATCTGGGGAAGGAGTGGGGGTCACACTTTGAGAACTATCGTTTAGTTTAGTTTTGTTTTTTGAGATAAAGTCTCAGATTCTCTCGGCTCAGCCTCCCGAGTAGCTGGGATTACAGGCGTGCGCTACCACGCCCAGCTAATTTTTGAATTTTTAGTAAAGACAGGGCTCCACTGTGTTGGCCAGGCTGGTCTCGAACTCCTGACCTCAAGTAATCTGCCTGCCTCGGCTTTAGTTTTGTTTTGTTTTGAGACAGAGTCTCACTCTGTTGCCCAGGCTGGAGTGCAGTGGCGCAATCTCAGCTCACTGAAACCTCTGCCTCCTGGTTTCAAGCGATTCTCCTGCCTCAGCCTCCCAAGTAGCTGGGATTACAGGTGTGTGCCACCATGTCTGGCTAAATTTTGTATTTTTAGTAGAGATGGGGTTTCACCATGTTGGCCAGGCTGGTCTCAAACTCCTGACCTCAGGTGATCCACCCGCCTCGGCCTCCTAAAGTGCTGGGATCACAGGCATGAGCCACCTTGCCTGGCCGAGAACCACAGTTTTAAAGAAGTCAATAAATGTACCTAGTTTCAACAATTAAAAAGCAATTCCAATGGTACAGAAAGGTTTTCACTGAAAAGCAACTCCCCCCACCCCCTGCTCTCACTGTCTCCCTCCCCAGCAGAAACCGCCATCATTTCCTGGGTCTCCTTGCACGGCCCCCATCGCATGCTGTGTGGCCCTCAATCCAGTTCAGCTGTTACCAGTCTTGCTCCTCCCCGCAAAATCCCCACCCAGGTCAACGCCTGGTAGAACTGGGGTGCAGCAAAGTGTTTGCTGAATGAAGGGAAGAAGGAGACCCATTCCCAGGTCCAGGCACAGTCAGGTGTGTACAGTCCACCCCGTACTGCCCACCCCTTCCCACATTCCCCGGGCCCTAACTGGGGACCCCCCACCCCTCCGCCTGCTGTGGGATTTGGCCTAATCCTGGAGGATGAGTGTGGGGCAGCTGCAGCTCCCACTGCGGGGAGAGTGCTTCCCTCTGGAGGAAATATCCTTTTTACTCTCTTGCTATCGAAATTTGACCTTCGTCGGCACCTGGGCCCCACGGCTGGGGCCCGTCCCTGAGAAGTGGTTGAGGAGGGGGCGTGAAATCGCCAACAGCTGAACTCACCCAGCTTTCCCCACATCCTCTCCATCCCTGCCACTGCTCACATTCCACAGCGCCAGCCCTTTCCGGGGCCCCCAGTGCCAGCCTCACGTTCTCGCGCTGGTACTCGGGGGCGCAGCCTGACATGGCCCTATTGACCTCACCACCGGCCCAAGGCACATGCTGTGGGCTCCTTGTAGTTCTGGAGCCTCCAGGCCCCCCTGGAACCCTTCAGGACTCCTAAGTGGACTCATTGGGAACTGTCTCCGCCTTACACTGCTAAGTGGAAAATTCGAGGCACGGGCAGTGTGTGGCGTGCGCCTGCATCGGTGTGAACTGTGAACCTGAGTTTGCAGGAATGCAACCGCTTGGGGATGGCAAGCAGGCACAATAGTTGGTTCCCTTCCCAGGAGGGGAAGTAGGTGGCTGGGGTGAGGGCAGGAAAGGACCTTACACTGTATATGCCTTTGTTTCCTTTGATTTTTGTACCTGGTACATGTATTACCTATCACAAAGAGGAAAAATGTTTCCAAAAAGAGAAATGAAAAGAGGCTGGGCACAGTGACTCACACCTGTAATCCCAGCACTTTGGGAGGCCAAGGCGGGAGGATCACGAGGTTAGGAGATCAAGACCATCTTGGCCAACATGGTGAAACCCTGTCTATACTAAAAATACAAAACTTACCTGAGTGTGGTGGCACGTGCCTGTAATCCCAGCTACTCAGGAGGCTGAGGCAGGAGAATCGCTTGAACCCAGGAGGCGGAGATTGCAGTGAGCTGAGATTACGCCACTGCACTCCAGCCTGGTGACAGAGCGAGAGACTCCGTCTCAAAAAAAAAAAGGCTGGGCGCGGTGGCTCACGCCTGTAATCCCAGCACTTTGGGAGGCCGAGGTGGGTGGATCACGAGGTCAGGAGATCGAGACCATCCTGGCTAACACGGTGAAACGCTGTCTCTACTAAAAATACAAAAAATTAGCCGGGCGTGGTGGCGGGCGCCTGTAGTCCCAGCTACTCAGGAGGCTGAGGCAGGAGAATGGTGTGAACCCGGGAGGCGGAGCTTGCAGTGAGCCGAGATCGCGCCACTGCACTCCAGCCTGGGTGACAGATCAGACTCCATCTCAAAAAAAAAAAAAAAAGAGAGAGAGAAAAATGAAAAGAAAAAAACATTAAGGAAGAAAAGTATTCCCTCTGGGTACAGAACAGTTGCCAGAGCTGCCTGGCCCAAAGCTTCGGCCACCCCAGAGCCAGTTCACAAACTCCAGGGCCCAGTACCCTCCTAGGCAGTCACATTCAGGCCAAACCATCCTGCTGCCCACGTCACACAGCAGCCCAAGCCCAAATAGAGAACCACCTGACACAGCCTGAATGGGTCCCTGACCACTGCCAAGCTCCTTACTCGCCCCTCCCCTGTCTAGCCTCCAGCCCCATGACCTTTCTGTGTCTCCCTTGTCCCAAGCCCACTAGCACCCCAGGGCATTTGCACTGGCCACTATCTTCACCTGGCTCTTCTGGCTCTCAGAATAAAAGTCAGCTCCTAAGATTGGCCTCCCCTGATCACCCTGGCCAAAGTCCTCTCTCTGTTATTCCATATTTTAGACGTTTGTTTTCTTTGCGATGATCTTATTTGTTCACTCTTTACTGGCTCCCACCAAAAGGTGAGCTCTGAGAAGCCAAGGGCTGCGCCGCCAATGTCTACAATGGTGTCTGCCTAATAGTCCGTGCTCCATAGACGTTCATGGAAAAAAGACATGTTGAATAAATTTCCCAAATTCAGAATTCAAATCCCAGGCTGCTGAGCTGATCTCAGAGAGGCTCCAAAAAACTCTCAGGACCTGAGACAATGCTCCCAAAATATCCATGTTGCCTCCTGAGGGGACTGCAACCATGAGCCCCAGAGTGTCTGTAGGGGGTCCGGCAACCCCTTCTCATCCTCTGACCCGGTGGCCCAGCCCTGATGTCAGGATGGAGTCGCAGGGACAGCTCGGGACTGTTACTGCCCTTGAGGGACCTCCAGGCTGGGGGTGTCTGCTTATAAACCAGGATTCCCCAATACTGTGTGGGGGACAACATGGGAGACAAGGGACCAATATCTAAGGAACTCCTGCAACTCCGAAAGAAGACGGGCACCTCGAAACACAAATAAGGACAGTGTGCAACCAGGTAATTGACTGAGGAGGAGACCCAGAGGCTAAGAAGCACTGGAGGAGATCTGGAGACTCGAGAATAATCTTAGGTGTGCTCTCACTTCCTACCTACCAGACTGGCAAGTGAGAAAGTCAGAGAATGGGCCGGGCGCGGTGGCTCACACCTGTAATCCCGGCACTTTGGGAGGCCGAGGCGGGCATATCGCGAGGTCAGGAGATCGAGACCATCCTGGCTGACAGTGAAACCCCATCTCTACTAAAAATACAAAAAATTAGCCGGGCGCGGTGGCGGGCGCCTGTAGTCCCAGCTACTCGGGAGGCTGAGGCAGGAGAATCGCTTGAACTCAGGAGGCAGAGGTTGCAGTGAGCTGAGATTGCACCATTGCACTCCAGCCTGGGCAACACGAGCAAAACTCGGTATTTAAAAAAAAAAAAAAAAAAAAAAAAAAAAAAAGGCCGGGCATGGTGGCTCACACCTGTAATCCCAGCACTTTGGGATGCCAAGGCAGGCAGATCACCTGAGGTCAGGATTTCGAGACCAGCCTGGGCAACATGGTGAAACCCCGTCTCCACTAAAAGTACAAAAATTAGCCAGGCATGGTGACTCAAGCCTGTAATCCCAGCATTTTGGGAGGCCAAGGAGGGCAGATCACGAGGTCAGGAGTTCAAGACCAGCCTGACCAGTAGGGTGAAACCCCGTCTCTACTAAAAATACAAAAATTAACCAGGCATGGTGGTGCACACCTGTAATCTCAGCTACTCAGGAGGCTGAGGCAGGAGAATGGCGTGAACCCAGGAGGCGGAGCTTGCAGTGAGCTGAGATCGTCCCACTGCACTCCAGCCTGGGTGACAGAGAGAGACTCCGTCTCAAAAAAAAAAAAAAAAAAAAGCTGGAGAACTCCAGGTGCTGGCAAGGAGACGAGAGGCTCTCCTGGACTGGGGGCTGAAGCTGTCCCAGCGAAGTCTAGGAGCATTCAGCTAAGTATATACACACATGCCCTATGACCTGGAAATGTTGCCCTGAACATATAACTGCCCCCAAACACACACACACACACACACACACACACACACACACACACACAACACACAGAGATCCTCCCATGTGACCGTGTGGGGAAGGCAGGAGGAGGGGTTGGATCCAGCCTGGGGTTCCTCACTGGAAGGCGGATCAGCAGAATGTGTGGAGGACCCGGTGGACACAGAGCCACATGGGGGACTTAGAAATCTCGTGCTGAGAGGCAAGAGGAAGAAATGGAATGAGATCTAAAGCACAAAGCCACTTGCACGAAATGATGACACGGAAAACACACATTTTCCAAGAACGCACACACAAAACTATTAGCACGACTGTCTGGGGGGCAGGGTGATAAGAATGGAGAATGAGGCCTGGCGTAGTGTCTCACGCCTGTAATCCCAGCACTTTGGGAGGCCGAGGCGGATGGATCTCGAGATCAGGAGATCAAAACCATTTTGGCCAACATGGTGAAACCCTGTCTCTACTAAAAATACAAAAATTAGCCGGGCGTGGTGGCACGCGCCTGTAATCCCAGCTACTCCGGAGGCTGAGGCAGGAGAATTGCTGGAACCCGGGAGGCAGAGGTTGCAGTGAGCTGAGATTGTGCCATTGCACTCCAGCCTGGGCAACAAGAGCAAAACTCTGTATTAGAAGAAAAAAAAAAAAGAACGAAGCACTGAGCACTGACCAGATAGAGGAAGGCGTGCAGGGGTGTGGAGTTGTGGAGTGTTGGGAATTGAAAGGCTCAGTAAATCAAGAAATGTTTACTGGGCACCTACCATAGGCCAGGTACTCTTCTAGTCACTGGGTATACCCAGTGAAGACAGACCTGGCCCCTGCCCTGAGGAGTTTCGTATCTACAAATGGAGACAGATATTCAACAAACACCCAGGAAAATGCTGACTGTAATGAAACGCAGAGCTCTGAAGGTCAACAGCCTGCAGCTGTGAGTGCTGACGGTGGGGACTGATCCTGGCCGGCTCCGGCTCCGGCTCCGGCTCCGGGAAGGGTTCCCTGAGGGAATGATGTTTGAGTTGAAGGAGGAGAGCCTTGGCCTTGTGAAGAGTGGGAGGAAATGCATTCCAGGCAGACAGAATGGTCTCTGCAAAGGTCTGGAGGCAGGCAGGTGCAGGGCGAAGGTGAGGGCATCCGATCCAGCTCCGTGGACAGAGCACAAGAGTGAGGGGGAACACGGTGCCAGATGAGGCCAAACCCAGGGGGCCTCGTAGGCTGTGGGTTTATCCTAAGGCAAGTGACAAGACAGGAAAGCAAGGGGCTGGTGCAGATGGGCAGGCAGTGGAGGGGATTGTTGCAGCGCCTGGCTAGACTCAGAGCCGGGAACCGGAACAGCCCCCCAAAGTACATGTGTGGCCTCCCAAGAAGACAGAAGTAAGAGCCCCAGAGCATCCACAGAGTGACCATCCACGCTGTCTCCCACTCTCTGGTCTGGGGCCAGCAGCGCCTCTGCACAGCTACATTCTGAGGCTCCCAGCTTGGCCAAGGGGATAGAGAAAAGTGGAAGGCCAGATGCAGAATAAGAGGATTTGCTAGGCCAGGCATGGCATTTCACGCCTGAAATCCCAGCATTTTGGGAGGCTGAGGCGGGAGAATGACTTGAGGCCAGGAGTTCAGGACCAGTCTGGGCAACACAGTGAGACCCTGTCTCTACAAAAAAAATAAAACAATTAGCCGAGTGCGAGAACACGTGCCTGTAGTCCCAGCTACTTGGGAGGCTGAGGTGGTAGGATCACTCTTACAGAGAGAACAGTCTCTGCTTGGAATAGTCCAAGCTCCTTAACACGCAGAGGAGGCCTTCAGGATCTGGCCCAGTAGGTTGCAGTGAGCTACGATATTGAGTCTCTGCACTCCAGCCTGGAACACAGAGCAAGCTCCTGTCTGAAATAAATAAATAAATAAATAAATAAATAAATAAATAAATAAAAGGGAGGCCGGGCACAGTGGTTCATGCCTGTAATCCCAGCACTTTGGGAGGCTGAGGCGGGCAGATCACCTGAGGTCAGGAGTTTGAGATGAGCCTGGCCAACACAGTGAAACCCTGTCTCTACTAAAAATACAAAAATTAGCTGGGTGTGGGTGGGCTACTAGGTAGCCCAGCTACTCGGGAGGCTGAGGCAGGAGAATCGCTTGAGCCCAGGAGGTGGAGGTTGCAGTGAGCCGAGATCATGCCACTGCACTCCAGCCTGGATGACAGAGCAAGACTCCCTCTCAAAAACAAAATAAAAATAAAAATAAAAGGGGGCTGGGCGCAGTGGCTCACACCTGTAATCCCAGCACTTTGGGAGACTGAGGCGGGGGATCACAAGGTCAGGAGCTCAAGACCAGCCTGGCCAAGATGGTGAAACCCCGTCTCTACTAAAAATACAAAAAATTAGCTGGGCGTGGTGGCGGGCGCCTGTAGTCCCAGCTACTTGGGAGACTGAGGCAGAGAATTGCTTGAACCTGGGAGGCGGAGGTTGCAGTGAGCCAAGATCGCACCACTGCACTCCAGCCTGGGTGACAGAGCGAGACTCTGTCTCAAAAAAAACCCAGAAAATAAATAAATAAATAATAATAAAAGGGGACTGGCTGATGGGGGGTGGGAGGGTGAAGGAGGTGATGGAGAACCTGGAGATGGGAAAGGACAGAAAGTTGAGTGAACAGGTGGCATCAGTGTGTTTCAGGGGCCTGAGGAGGGACCACAAGGGGGTGGACAGGGCAGATGATGATGAAAATGTCGCCAGACCAACACACTGTGCCTGACCGTGAAACAAACAACAGGAAGCCAGCAGCATCCCAATTTCACTATCCTTGTGCCTTTCACCCCAACTCTTCCCAGCCCCTTCCACGTCCATCCCTTGGCCTCGTCCTCTCCTTTCCTCCTCCATCTCTTTTTTTCTCTCTGGTCTGTCTGCCCTGTGAGGGGTCTCCAGGTAGAAGGAAGAGTTGGAGGGGACATGGTGGGGCGTTGTTGCCACCTGCTGGCAGCCACAGGAAGTGCATACTCCAGCCTGGTGCATGGTGCAAGCCTGAGCTGGGGACCCCGAGTCTTCCCCTGCTGGTGGTGATCGGGTGATTCCTGAAGGACCCTGGCTGGTGGTGATCGGGTGATTCCTAGACCCTGGCTCTAGGCACTGTGTTTTTCAGAACGATGCTGATAAGCCACTCTCCACCTTACTCAAGGGAATCGCTGATGGACAAAACCATAATTGCCCCTGCTCAAACCCTTCCCCATCCTCAGGCGTTGGTCCAAGCTCCATAATACGCTTAATAGGAGACCTTCATGATCTGGCCTTGGCCTCAGGCACAGCATCTTGTTCTCATTAGTTTCAGTGCCTTCCCCAGTGCACAGGACCTTTGCACCTGCCCTCTCTTCCTAGAACAGTCTCCCCGCTTCTGGTTTTCCAAACTCCTCCTCCTCTTTCGGGGTTCCAATTCCCCACCTCCCTGGAAGAGAGCTTCTAGCACCTCCACATTAAGCAGGGAGGATGAGCATCTCAAGCCATGGGAACAGCATGCGCGAAGGCCCAAGATGCTTCAAGGGGTTGGAAGAGGGCCAAAGGCCTGAGAGGGTGACGGGGTTGGCAGGGCTGTGGCAACAGGTACCATGGTCCTGGGTGATGGGTTGAGTCCCTGGTGAACAGTGGAAGGTCAAGGTTTTCAGTAGCAGCAGACATGGTCAGATATGTGTTTGGAAGGGCCCACGTAAGGTTGCCAAGTGCAAAAGGCACTGACAAGGCAAAAGTGGGTTTGGGGGCAACAGGTGGGGGCTGCATAGGAGAGAGATGGTGGGGGCTTGGATCCTTGAGCCCCCCACTTCCTGCTGGCTGGGTCCTGAGCTGGGGCTCCCAGTCCTGTCTCCAGTCTTTCTGGGCTAGACAGGGGCAGCCCTGCAAGGTGCCAGCCTAATTCCTCTGCCTGACCTCCCTGAGGGGACTCTAGCGTACCCTGGTGTGCTCCACACCGGCCCTGGCTGCCTCCTCTGATAGCCCCACCCCACATGCATACCTCTTATACCCTCGTGTTAGGCACCCACATGCTGCCTGCCTCTCTGAGCCAGCCCCTATGGCCTGTGGGAGCTGCCCTCCCATTCTACAGAGGAGGAAGCTTAGCCTCACAGCTGGGAAATAAGCTGAGAGCAGTAGGGAGGGGATTTGAACCTGGGTCTGTCTGCCCTCCCCACCATACTAGGCAGCCTAACAGTTACAGGCAGGACTCTGTCACATCCAGTGACTACATGACTTTGGGTGGACAGCTTTACCTTTCCCTGCCTCATTGTACTCTTCTGCAAAACGGGGACAATCGTAGTAATTGGCCCAGTGAGGTTTGTGAAGAGTAGGTAGAATGAATCCCCACAAGGCTCCAGCACAGCACCGGGCACACAGCAGGCACTCATCAATGGTTGCTTTTTCCATGAATACTATCTCGGGAACTGAACATGCTCACCGGGGAAATGCGCTTCATTTCAGTCAGGGAGAAAACAAAAGGAGCTCCAGGAGGACCAAGAAGGGAGGATAAAGTAGGGAGAATGGCTTGGGGAAGGTCTGGGCTAAGTCACTCTGAGTTCCAAGTACAGAGCAGGTGTTCAGGGCGCCAGCTGTGAGGAGCCTTGAATGCCACACTGAGAAGTCAACAAAAGTTCTAGAGCCAGAGAAGGCACCACCAGTACCCTAAGCCCAGGGGTAGGCTGCTCACTCCCCCAGAGATGACAGCACTGTAGGCAGTGGAAGAGGATGCTGGCAGCAGGGGCCCATCTCAGTCTTCATTGCACTCCATAGCCAGGCGCCTGTGGTCCCAGCTACTCGGGAGGCTGAGGCACGAGAATCGCTTGAACCCGGGAGGCGGAGGTTGCAGTGGAGCCGAGATCGCGCCACTGCACTCCAGCCTGTGCAACAGAGATAGACCTTGTCTCAAAAAACAACAACAACAAACTCCACAGTCCAGATAACGTTTTCCTGGGCCTGAGAACCTTCCCCATGCAATTCCCCAGCTAGTCACACGGTGGCGACAGTGCACCATGAGCCCTCTGCTTCTCCCTCCCTTTCAGCCAAAGCAAAAGCCAAACACCAATGTTTTCTAGATGCCTCTAAGAGATGGAGGGAGATTTAGGGAGAGATCTAAGGAGTCTCCTTTAGTCCATTCATATCCCCTGCCTATAGGTGAAAATGATGACTCACAGAAGTCAATTCATACCCCGAAGATCACCCAACCAGGTTTTGTTATTTTGTTTTTGTTTTTGTGTGTGAGATAAGAGTCTTGCTCTGTCACCCAGGCTGGAGCACAGTGGTGCAATCTCAGATCACTGCAACCTCTGCCTCTGGGGTTCATGCAATTCTCCTGCCTCAGCTTAGTGAGTAGTAGCTGAGATTACAGGCACGCACCACCATGCCCAGCTAACTTTTGTATTTTTAGTAGAGACGGGGTTTTGCCATCTTGGCCAGGCTGGTCTTGAACTCCTGGCCTCAAAAGATCCGCTGGCCTCGGCCTCCCAAAGTGCTGGGATTACAGGTGTGAGCCACCACGTGCGGCCTCCAACCAAGTTTTGAACCCTGGTCTGTGCGTCTCCCAGGACAGCTGCAGCAGCTGCCTGTCCTAGGCCATCAGTCCTGGTTCAGCCTCCCGCCCCCATCACTGGGCAGTGCTGCCTTTGCTGAGCTGACAGATCAGAGGTCTGCCCTGGGAGTGGACAAGGGCAAAGACTTTCACTTTTGCTTTCTACTTCTGAAGTTTAGGTCACTTATGTAGCTTTTGCACTGTGGGTGAGGCGCTGGGATAGTTCCTATCGCTGGGGAAGAGCTTGTCTGAGGGACGACGCCTCGGTGTTCCCACAGTTTCCCTCCCCCATCCCAGCCAAGGCTCCCAAGACTGAATTCCCCGGCCCTCCTAGCTTCTAAAGAGGAAGAGAGCTAACTTTGATGGAGGACTTCCTCTGTGCCGTGTACTATGCCGGACATCCTTTCTGCATGCATTCAGTACAGAGTAATGAAGTACACACTGTGTGCTTGTCACAATAGACAGCACTACAAGCTCTTGCATGCAGCAATAAAGAAATATTTATTAATGGTAACTTGTGTGCTGGGCGAGGTGGCTCACACCTGCAATCCCAGCACTTTGAGAGGCTGAGGCGGGCGGATCACATGAAATCTGGAGTTTGAGACCAGACTGGCAAACATGGCGAAACCCCATCTCTACTAAAAATACAAAAAGATTATCCAGGCATGGTGGCACACACCTGTAATCCCAGCTAGCTACTAGGGAGGCTGAGACAGGAGAA